>NC_000011.10:40363030-40666060 GCF_000001405.40 Homo sapiens
TTCCACTGAGGAATCTCATTACTGGGTATATACCTAAAGGAATATAAATTGTTCTCTTATAAGGACACATGCATGCATATGTTCATTGCAGCACTATTTACAGTAGCAAAGACATGAAATCATCCTAAATGCCCATCAAGGATGGACTGGATAAAGAAAATGTGGTACATATACACTATGGAATACTATGCAGCCATAAAAAAGAATGAGACCATGTCCTTTGCAGGGACACGAATGGAACTGGAGGCCATTATCCTTAGCAAACTAACGCAAGAACAAAAATCCAAATACTGCAGGTTCTCACAGGTGGCAGCTAAATGATGAGAACACATTATATGAACACATAGAGGGGAACAACACACACTGGGGCCTATTGGAGGGTGAAGGCTGGGAGGAGGGAGAGGATCAGGGAAAATAAATAATGGGTACTAGGCTTAATACCTGTGGGTGACGAAATAATCTGCACAAGCAAATCCCAATGACTCACGTTTATCTATGTAACAAATCTGCACATGAACCCAGAATGTAAAATAAAAGTAAAAAAAAAAAACTGTTTCAAGGACTTTAAAAGATAACCTCACAAGAAATCCTCTCATATGTCTGATGCATCTCATGCTTTTCTCAGCTTCCACCTTTTGCATGTATTTCTGAGACAAGGTTTATCACTAGACACTCTAAGGACCATAGCAAATCAGATGATATGCTCTCAAAGAACACTTGCCCGGTAATGGCATCTCCACCAATGAACTGATGCCAATTCTGGCTTTGAACCTCTGGAACCAATGAACACTGTTTCTAAGCAGCATACATGGACTTGCTGTTTTATCAATAAAAGCTTCTCTTTACACTTCTCTAATCGCATGCGCCTATGACTTGCCATTGCTGTGCTTGTCTGATTATAATATTTTTTGCTTACACCAGAAGAAACATCATATTCGTACATATTTTTCTCTGATGTCTTTTTCTTAGGTTTACAAGACTAATGGATATTCTGTACCCACTAAACAAAACTTTAAAGAAAGCTTCAAGAAAATAAAATAGCACTATGTAACTTAACTATATACCCAAACAAAGACCAGAATGTTGAAATAAACAACAGAAAAAAATACAGCAACCACCAGCATTAAATTCATAATTTCTGGTGTCCAAACACAACAACAACAACAAGAAAATTATCAGGTATGCAAAGAAACTGAAGAAATCTAAAACAAACAAAAAAATCAGCCAATGAAACAGACGTTGAGCTGACCTAGACCAAAAAAAATTAGGTAAATGTGTTAAACCACTATTATAAATATACTCCTTATCTTCAAGAAAGCCAATGAAAAGCATAAACATGTTAAAAGATGCAGAAGATAAAAAAATGACCCAAATTAAGCTTTTAAAGGTAGTTAATATGTTGTCTCAGATGAAAGATATAATGGATAGAATTAAAACCAGATTAGATGCTGCAGAAGCAAATGGAACTTGAATACATAGAAACTACCTAGAATGAAATTCACATTAAAAAGACTAAAAAAGCAAGCAAACGGAATACAAATTAGCAATGAGATGGCTTAAAGCGTCTCATATATATGTAAGGATGTCTCAGAATTGTCAGAAAAGAATGTTTGTTAAAAACAATGACCAAAGATTTTCAAAATTTAACAAGGTTTGTAAGCCTTCTGACTGAAGAAGCTCAATAAACCCAGAGAAATATGATGATAATAACAAAAAGCCCACCATAATTATATTGCATAAAAATGGTAATGCATCTTATAAACAGCCAAAATAGACCCACTCCTACAGAGGAACAAAAGATAAAAAAGACAGACTTCTTATTGGGAAAAAGGCAAGTCAGAAGAAAATGGAGCAATATCTTTAAAACACTGATTAAAAAATACATGTATGTAAAAAAAAACCTGTTAACCTAGAATCCTATATTTAGCAAAAATATCTTTCCATAATGAAGGTAAAATAATGGCATTTTTGGAAATAAAATTCTTAATAGTATTCATTACTATCATAATCACCACAAGAAAAAGGAAACCACTTCAGACAGAAGGAAAATTTTACCAGTAGAAAACTGGATCCACAAAGAAAAAAAAAAAAGAAATATATAGGGAATGGCAAAGATATGGGGAAACTTAAAAGATTTTTAGAAACATTCCATAAGATTTAATTGGCTCTTTTAAAGCATTGTGATGTATCATATATACGATTTAAAATTAAAATATGATTTAAAAATGTAGAAGATTTCAACTAGAATGTAATCATCTTACTTTTCTTTCTGGTTTCATCTCTTGATAGGAGGGTACACTAAAAATATGAAGTCAGGGGCCTGAATACTTTTGCCAATTCTCCTCCTAACTATGCAACCTTAGAGAAGTTGCTTCTTCATTCTGTGCCTCCATTACTCATATGTAAAAGAAAGGTGTTGGCCTTTATTAAGTTCTGCCGGTTTTTTTACCCTGTGATACATCATCCTACCTGTCTCTTCTTGGCAAATTCATGTCACATGAGTTCTAAGGGAAAACTGAAGGCAACTTTGGGGGGGCCCGAGAGGAGATTTTTAAGTAGAAGGATGTGTTAACCAAACAAGAGGTGAGGGCTAAACATTTTTTTTAAACAATAGTATGTTACAAGAAGTAAATGTCATGAGTGGTGACTCAAGCTGATGATTGTCAGATATTCATGATGCAGAACAAAAATGCCAACCTTGACATAGTGAGAACAATTAACTTCATTGTCACTTTGATTTTTCTCAAATATTTATTCTATTTAAAGTCCCCAAGTGGGTTGTATGAGGGATAGACCTATCTCCATTTTACTTATTATATCTGACTTTGCAAGCCAATACATACTATTGATATATTTTTAATTGGTATATGAGAATACATATTACATATACTGTCGTGCACACACTACAAAATTCAGTTCAGTTCAACAAATATTTATTGAATATAAATTGGGAGATTCAGTGGGGTATACAGAATGTTATGAAAGCAGGGATTTAATCTCAACATAACCAACTATCTCTATTACTTAGAAAAAGCCTGATTTTATTTTTAAAACTGTGTTTTGTTTTTGTAAAATGAGGAGACAAAGTTAGATTTTTCCTAAGGTCATTTCCAGTTATAAACTGCTGTATGTGTCTATGCACTCACGGCTGTACCAGAAACAGTGGAGAAAATAAACCAGTATAACATATGCTTTCTACCTTGAGGAATTTATGGTGTATTTGGATAATAAACTGTATTCATATTTAACTCAGAATTAATTAACAATGGCTTATTATGTACAAGGTACCAGCCTTGGTGATCCTTGAAGCATTTAAGACAGGCTTAAGTTTCTGGAGAGACATATTGTCAGCCAGCATTTCAAGAATAGCTTTATAAAGAAGTTGAGGTTCAGAATAGAATTTGTGGGTTGAATATTGTACTGGGAATACTGTGAGGCTGTGTATCAGGGAGATGGTGAGATTTCAGAGAAAAACTTAAAAGAATAATATTTACACATATTATGCATATAAATAGAAAAGCCTTACATGAATTATATATGCATGTATATATAACATACGTGTATATATAGCTCATATATGGCAATTTGTGTGTATTCTCATAAACTGAGATAAATTTAAATGCTGTATATACAAACACATATATGGCATTTATGCACATAACAAACATTTTTGAGTAAGGCATTTTCATGAGGAGAGGGTAAAGGAAGACAGACACAATGATATGAGGTGACAGAAACAGCACCCAGAGGTTTTCATTTAAAGTGCAAATACTGCAGCTAACAAGGTATCTGACCTTATGCAAGTCTCCTTACATTTCTCAGTTTTGTTAGCTATGAATATGATGGTGGAAGATAGGAAGACTAACTGGGTTTTAACATCAGTGTTAGTTGTATCATTCCACATGGCAATTTGAGTTGAGTTAGTACTCACTCTAATAACTATACTACATCTGTTTCTGAGACATAGAGAAATGCAGCTCCTTTCAGAAGATTCTAATCTGCTTTGGGAATGAAGGCACAGATGTGAACTTGATAAATATTTATTTAATACCTGCATCCTCATTATATATTTTATCTCACTTTTCATTGCAACCACGTCTATCTTGTTTGCCATTGCATTTCCAGTGCTTAGCACACAGCCAAGCCCATTGTAGACATTAATTTAATTTCTTGTTTAATTGATGAATGGATACATGCATGAAAGAACATGAGTTAACTAGTACCACATTTAGAGCTCCATAGGCTGCTTCTTTCTACTGATATAGAACAACACAGATGCATCCCAGTTCAAATACACTCATTTTCTCATCTTGTCTGAGGCATTTGATGGAAACATTTCCAGTTGTTAATCCACTTACAGATTACACAAGAAAAAGGTCCCACCACTGAATTGCATAATGTACAACATTTTGATGCTGCACTAGTATTTCTTGAAAAACTGTCATCACTTTTTTCTGTCTTATTTTTTTCACAATGCAATGCATGGAGGCCACACTGACAATCTGGATTAAGAAAAGAAAAGTGACATTAGCTAGAAGGGGAATCATGAAAAGGGAAGGTAGAAACCAACATATCGTATATAGAATTCTTTGGGTGTCTTCCAAGTCATGGACCTGCTTTTTTGGAGAACTTAGTTATCCATATATCTTATGTCCTTCTTCAACACTTTTGTGAAATGTCATATTGTCAAGAGGCCTTCCTGATATTTTTTATTAAAAATTTCATGTTATTGTTTTCCTTCTCTGCTTTCCTTTTCTCCACAGCAGTTATCTTCTAGCTTATTATGCAAGTTACAAATGTATTTGGTTATTATCTGATCCCTCATATGAGGCTATAAGCTTTCTAAAGGCAGAGTTTTGCATATTTATATATGTTCCAGTCTTTAGTATAATGTCCCATCTACACAGTAAGACATCAACAAAGATCCAAAATTCCAGATATTGATTGAACTACACCCCCTGTCACTGCATGTCACTGACCGTCTTGGCAGCTATATTTTTATTCATCAGACTGTTTTTTGTTGTCATAGCTGATTGGCTTAAGGCAGGGACATTGGTAAAGGTGACTCAAACATTTGTATTGATTATAAAGTGGGATAAATATATATATCTTTAAAATCAGCACATGTAAATAAATAATTTTAAATCATACTAAAGAGAAATGAAAGAAAAATATAGGCTATGAGAGACTATTGGTGGCGATACAATATACTTTGGGAAGGTTAAAGATCTTTTCAATATACTAACTTCAGTGGAGCCTTGAAAGGTAAGAGGACATTGGCTTTAGATGTTCTTACTTCTTAATCTTAGGTAATGACTCTTCAGTGTTTGGATGAGAGTACATGAGATCATCTGTGGGAGCCTGAATCAAAATTTTCTCATAGTACCATGAACCTTCCATAATAAAGTTAACCATAATAAACTTAGTACGGGAACATTTTTACAAGTGTTTATTCAACCAATGTCTTTATTCCCACTAGACAGTACGTTTTATATGACAAACAGCTCAATTCCTAAGGGCTTCCAGTTCCTGACTTCAGCTTTACTTGGGGACATGATTGCATGTCTACACTTGGGCTTTAGAATATAATTGTGCATTCTTATAAAGCATTTCCTGGTATTTTCCTTGGTGGTTTCTTCAATAAGCTAGCCTAAGTGGATTTCTGTTTTGTGCAAATAAGACCATTCTGTAAGATGGTGTTTTGCCATACAAAGATAAGTCCACCTTTAGTAGTGCTGATGTGAATGTTACCCGTCCCCTGGGCTTTGCAGACAAACAGACCAGATTTCAAATGTGTTCTATCATGTAAAAATTGTGTCACCTTGGGTAAGTCTTTAAACCACTCTGAGCCACAATGATCTAATCTTCAATAATGTGATAATAAAGCCTACCTCCAGGGATGTTGTAAGATTAATTCCATGTTGTAAATTAAGTATCTACACTGTCTTAGCAAATAAATGAGGCTCATAAAATGGTTAATGAGATAACAAGATAATGGTTGATACATAATAAGGTAAGGACAGCAGTGTTGTTATTTACTACGTTCACTCAATGTTTATCTATTGATAACCTGTCAGGTACCAAGTGTGGATCTAGGTATACAGTGGACACAGTCACAGAGAGGACACTAGACTCTCACCAAGGAGAGAAGCAGTTGACTCCAAATGAGAATTATATGAGATAGGGGTTGGAATCAGCTCTGTCTCCTGCTGTGAAATTGCTGGCATTTCTCTTCAGCTATCAGGGAGCAATGTCTCAATGTTCCTTGTCCTCTTATGATCCCATTTTATTCTGCAGTTTTTGGTTGTTGTTGTTGTTGTTTGTTTGTTTTGAGATGGAGTTTCACTCTTGTTGCCCAGGCTGGAGTGCAATGGCGCGATCTCGGAATCACCGCAAACTCTGCCTCCCGGGTTCAAGCATTTCTCAGCCTCCTGAGTAGCTGGGATTACAGGCATGCACCACCATGCCCAGCTAATTTTGTATTTTTAGTGGAGATGGGGTTTCTTCATCTTGGTCAGGCTGGTCTCGAACTCCTGACCTCAGGTGGTCTGCCCGCCTCAGCCTCCCAAAGTGCTGGGATTAAAGGCGTAAGCCAACACACCCAGCCATTCTGTAGTTTTTTAAAGAAAGTAATTAGTTTTCTAATTGGCAAACATAATTGTATATATTTATTGTGTACAATATGTTGTTTTGAAACATGTATACATTGTGGGATGACTAGATTGAGCTAATTAATACATGTGGTACCTGACATGTCATTTTTTGTGTGTGGTAAAAACACTTAAAATCTAATAGTTTTAAAATAGATATTAGAATGGTTAGGTACAGGAAGCAAATACCTAAACAACGTTTCTAAAATTTTAGTTTAAAGGAGATATAGATAGCAAATAGAGCAAGAAAAAAGTGGAAGATGTACCAAATGTTTTATGAATATATCGATCAGGTTATTTCCATTTTTTTTGGTAGAGAGAAGAAGAAAAAATTATTTTAAAGTAAAATGGCACTTTTTAGGTCCAAAGAATACTTACATCTGCAAGAGGATGTTATAAAAGTGATTCCCTTTAGAATTCCTCTATCTGAGTATGGATGTGGGGATTTTATTGGTTTGCTGAGTGAAATCTAGGCCTGAGGGACCCACTGAATTCAACACCTGTGAAGATGGAGCTGAGAGCCAGCCAGTAGGGTTCTCAGCCTCTCACTAATGCCAGCCAGCTGGGACTTCACACACAGAATGCAAAATGCCAACCTAATGCCCAAGGCAGAGACCTAAACACCAACCGCAACATCTAAAACACTCGCTGAAACGACTGCTGCATATGGTACAGGAGGTTCTTTTCATCCTCAGTAGGATTAATGATCAGGGAAGATGTTATTTTGAGCAAGTTTTATAGTTAATTCAACCATCAGAAGTTAGATTCACAAGGGGGAGGAGTAAATAAAGTAACATAGCAACAACAGCAACAACAAAAATTTCTTTACTTAATATGTATTTTAAACAAACTTCATTGTATGCACTGAGAATAGCAAGGCCCGCAAATCCAACCTATCAAGACCCAGGGTCACCAAGCTGTGATTCACATACTTAGGAGCACAAAATCAAAGTAACAGATTGAGAGGGCTTCTTTCAGCCCACATTCTGCAACAAGAGGTAAAACAAAGCTGGCAAATGTTTTAGTAAAACATTTTAGTAAAATCATCTTAGCATGGAATTTAAAAGAAAGCAACGAAGCTATGTACTGCTCAAGAGTTTATTTTCCATGAGATGAAAAATTGTTTCCAAAATAAAATAAAATATTCCCAAAACACCCAAAAATGAAATAAAATAAAAATTTATTTTAAATTCACTGCAGTTATGCAGGATTTTTATAGGCCCACCTCTTTAAATGGATCTTTTGTAAGCTCACTTCAGCAAATCATTTGTAAAGTTTTAACGTGAAATGAGTCATATTTAATTGCCACTGTACATTGATTTTTTTAAAAAAAATCTTGTCTAAATACAACCCTCGGACTTAGAGGCACTCACTTTTGCATAAGAAGTGCTGCTTGCTAGATCACAAAGACATTAATTAAAAAATTAAAAAACACTCACTTTATAGGAACGTTTCCCCAAAACTCTGAAACATAAGATTCTTAGTTTTTACACTGTTCACTTTCTAATTTAAAAATGTCATAGACAAGTATATCTGAATTTGTGTCATTAAAAAAAATACAAGCAATTTCACAACATTACAAATTGCAGTTTACTTCTATTCAAGTTTTTCCAGCTGGGTATAATATATGCTTTTGACATGTCTCCTCTGCAAATGTAGAAGGTTTGGACACTACAATTTGTACATTTTTGACAAGTCTATTGGGAAGACAATATTTCCTTCAGTCCCATAGGCATGGACTTTGCAGCTTTGGCCCAAGTGACAACATATTAATGATTAATTACTTTACTACAACTTCACAAATGCCTAAATTTCTAATCAGAGTGTAAATGGTTATAGACCATGGTGGACTCTTTTATTTTTATAACTAAGACTTGCTGAGTTTAAAGGCTCTTGAGCATTTTAACCCTTTCGGATACAATCGTGGGTTTAATTAACTCTTATTGAGCCAACAACTAATGGCCCGGTAATGTGCTAAAAGATGAATATGTAAGATAAATCAGACAAAGCCTATGGTTTGATGGCTTCAGAGAGATTCATAGAGAAATGTAAGAATATAATAAGTGCTAGGATAGAATATATCCAAAATGCTATAGAATATTGAGGCACAAATGGGTCAGAACAAAGATGCATTGTAGATTGAGGCTCCCAACTGGACAACACGACCTGGGAAAATATTTGTTTTTCATTTATGCCTGACAGGTTCATAGAATTAAACAATTAGGTATGTAGGTAGATAGGGCAGGAGCGGCTATGGGATGAAAAAACATACAGCAGTGTATTTTAGAATCATGTCTGTAAATGTAAACATATATATTCAAAGAACTATGATTGTGGCTTGTGGTTCATGAGATGAAATAAACAGGGGATTAAACAGACTTCTAAGACAGTTTTGCTGTTCAGGAAACTACCAGCCTGGACTAAGTAAAAATATCTGTGACTGAGACATTAAACAATCTGTAAAACCCAACTAGTAGGAGATAGGCTGAAGTAATGCTCATTCCCCAAAGAGGTTAAATTATTCAATGTCCATTTCTGACATGGCCATGGAGGATAATGGTGAAGGAAGAACTCTCTGGACGGCAGCATCAAGGGTCCCAACCAGACAGCAATATAGGTGCCTAGTCCAAGGACACTTGGGGACCTTGTAATCATTTGATGGGATTTCAAAAATCTCTGCCAGATAATGGGCATGTAGCAGAGAAGTACACAAACCTTCTCTAGATTGTTACACTTCTGCTGATAGCTGGAGACAGTTCCTTGCTTTTAAAAGCCTGTAAGATTAAGACTAGGTTGAACCTATTCAGATAATCCAGGATAATCTCTTTATTTTAAGGTTTGCAATCTTAATACATCAGCGAATTCTCTTTTGCCGCGTAACATAACTTGTTCACAGCTTCCAGAAATTAGGGCAGAGGCATATTTGGTGGGGAGGGGGAGACTCATTCAGCTAACACCCCAGTCATCCTGGACGTTCTACATGATGCTATGCCTGGATAGGAATTTTGGGTTGTCTTCCCTGGGGAGAGAGAGAATATATGTTGTTATCAGGAAGGGCAGTGAACTGAATGTTTGGTGATCAGAAAAGCATACTTTGTCATTAGGCCTAGTCTCCAAACATTGCTGACCTTCTGGCCACATGGTGGAATTGAATATCTGGCCCTGATACGACTGGTTAGAGCATATGCTCAATTTTAGCAGAGACTCCCCACAACAGATTAGTTTTAAGCCAGATAATTTGGGATTTTTTTTTAATTAGAGCAAGTTGAATAACCTAACAAATCATGGTTGTTAGAGTTGGTGTACAATTATTATTTGAAAACGGAGAATTACTATGTCTGGTAATGGTGAGCTAGTTCTTCCTATGCATATTTCTGACATTTTTAATAAAAGAAAATATTCTTTAATAAATGAAGCAAAGACAACTAGGTTTCCTAATTATAAAGTCAAATAGCAATCTCTACCTCACACCCTACACTTGAAGCAATTTTATGTAGAGAGAGAGGACTACATTTCAAAGACAAAATAATAAAGCATTTGTAAGGTAATATAGGAAGGTGTCTTCTTGACCTCGGGGTAATGAATGATATCTTACCCAACAGGTACAAGAAACATTGACCACAACATAAAATTAGATAAATGTTATAATTAAAATTACAAAGTTCTGTTTATAAAAAATATCATAAAGTGAGTAAAAATCAAGTGGTGAAATGAGAGAAGACATTTGCAATACATATAATCAACAAGGAAATAATATGTAGAATATAAAATTTTTTCCCCAAAATTAATAAATTAAAAAACTCAATAGGAAATGAACAATAAATTTAATATACACTTTCTAAATGAAAAAAAGTCCAAATAACCAATAAATGTATTGATATAGTTTGGATGTTTGTCCCCTGCCAAAATTTCATATTGCAATGTAACTCCCCATGTTGGAAGTAGGGCCTGGAGGGGATGGTGATTCGATCATGGTGGCGGCTCACTCATGAACGGCCTGGCACCATCCCCTTGGTGATCAGTGAGTTCTCGCTCAGTTAGGTCATGCGAGAGCTGGTTACTCAAAGGAGCTTGGCTCCTACTCCTGTTGCTCTTACTTCCTCTCTCACAATGTGACACACCTGCTTCTGTTTTGCCTTCTGCCACAAGTTAAAGCTCCCCCAGTCCTCATCAGAAGCAAAGCGTACTCTGGAGACATATTTGTACAGCCTACAGAACCATGAGCCAATTAAACCTTTTATTAAAATAAAATATCCAACCTCAGATATTTCTTTATGACAATGCAAAATGGACTAACACCTTATCAAAGATGCTCAAATAATTGGCCTTCACAAAAATTTAAATGAAACCAAAAGTATATATCATTATCCCTTAACAAGACTATTAAGATTAAAAAGTTTAACAACAACAAGCTTTGTCAAATGGGAGGAACAAGGATCATTCTCATTAATTACTGGGGGAAACGAAAATCATATAACCATTTTGTAAGAATGAATTAAAAATGCTTAGCATGTAGTCTGGGAAAGAAAAGTTGCTAAATAGATGTTTGTTGTTGTGTCCGTAGTGGTGATGCTTGTGGTTGATATTATTTTACCTTCCCTGATCCTCCTGGGTAGAATTAGTCTTATTTATTCATTCTGTATGCATTTATTAATTCCCTAATCTGTATCAGATACTGCGTTAGACTCTGAAGATACAGAGATGCATGAAAAATACTTATAGTTCATGTGCTCACGTTGTTATTTAATGGTATTTATAATTTCTTACTGAGTTTGATATTCTCCTATAATAAAAATGTTAATATCTATTGTCTATTGAATACTTAATATGTACCAGGTGAACAGAGCCAGTGTTAGCAAAAATAAAACAAAACAAAGATTTGGGGGAAGTTTAAGAATTCTTATCAGATTTTTTCACATTCTCATAGTATTCTACTTTTAGATTTCATACATCTTTTCTTAGGAGTTCATTTCATATCCAGCAAGCATAGCAGAAATTAGGAGAATCAAAAAGGAGGAAATGCACTAATTCTAACATTCCTCTTCATCTTGTACAAAATGCTACTGTGTTATTAATCAGGATACTATATTTACCTCTGTAAGTGCCTCATTTATCATCAGGCAATGAATTTCAACATCCTACAAATTTTAATGAAGGGGAAAAAATAAAACCCCAAATACTTTGGGACCACTTCTTCAATATCTTCATTTTACAAGTGAGAAAACCTGAAGTACAAGGAGGTAGTGTGAAAGGTCCAAAGTCACATAGCTGGCAAGCAACTATGTTTAAACTCTTTACATTTATTTTATGTTAATTTTTGAAAAATTATAAGTTGTATCCTTATGGATGCCTTGAGATTCCTAAGATATCATCCAGTGGAACAAAATTTTCTCATGATAAAATCAAGTAACACATTGGTTTCTAAGCCATATAGCTGATGGAGTTATTAAATATTAACTTTAAGGCTCTGTAGTCAGCCACTGTAACACACTTTTTGTTTTATTACCAACATATCATCTTGGAAGAGGAAAAATAACTGGCAAACAGATTTCCAATATCCTTTCCTCAACAGCGGTAATTAGACTGAAGTGGCCTTTATAATTGAAATAGAGGTAGCATATTCCAAAAAGGTAAAGTCTTTGGTATTTTTGAGACCTAACCAAGATGGAAAATGAATCTTCTCTTTAACAGCTGGAGAGGAATGATGACAAAGTACAAATCAACACGCCATCCCTGATACTGGACAGAACTTGGATGCCATAAATACAGACACAAAATGAGCTTAATAACTTAGTTTTTAAGTTGAGGAAGCACAGATTTACTATTAGTAAAATGCAACCGCTTTTGCCAAGGTCTAACATTTTGTGGCATACCACCAGGCTAGAGCTAGGTGGACATGAAAAGGTGAGCCTTGAACCGTTCAGCAGGTTCTAGGGATATTTGAATATTTAAGACAAAATATTGTATGATGACTGCACAATGATTATGTAAAGTTTCTCGAATAATTTTTATCTCTCACTTGCATGAAAATACATATAGATTAACCAACATATAAACGTAGACACAGATTCACTTCCTGTTCTCATTGAACTGACCAACGCTTGGGAGTAGACAGACAGGCTACCACGGGAGTCACGTGCTTAATCTCTACAACTAGGAAACCTGGTTTCAAACCCCAGCTTTCACTTCCAGCCATGAATATTTATCAAGTCACTTAATCTCTAGGTGCCTGAGTTAACTTTAAAATTTGGGATAATACAAGTAATTAACTTAAAATGTCATTTGAACTTCAATCATATAATTTATTTGATGTTTTTAGAATGGTCCTGGAAGATTGCTAAGTAAACCTGGTACCGTTCCCAACTAATACTCTTGTGCATGAAACAGAAATATTAATCAAGGAATTATTAGTAATATAAGAAGAAATATAATATGAGTAAGTTTTATCGTTTTAGCTTTTCATATCCATGTTCACAAAAATGTTTTATCTGTAGAGTCAAAGATTAAGATATTCAAAACACCATTATTAAAATAATACAATATCCACTCATGATAACCCCTCTTGTCAGACATTCCAAGATTGAAATGGAGCTATAGTTAACAACCTCAAGCACATAACTTCTAAAGTTTTACAGGTCAAGAAGCAGAAAGCCATGTCTTATAGATCTGATTCCCTGGTGCTTTTATATAGAAACACAGAAAAGAGTTGAACAGAGCAGAGACGACATCTGTTAGAATTTTGTTGGAGTGCGAGAAAACTTGAGAAACCAGAGAGAAATGTACTCCAGCTTCAAAGAACTACAGGAGTTTAAAGACATCTGGTTTTGCCATATTTTTTATATGACTGTTAGTCATGGATTTAAACCGATAAACTCCCAGAGAGATTAAACAGCTTTACAGCCAGATGCTGTAGCCCAGTGTTTGGCATATATGAACTTGATGAAGTTACCAACTTTGAAGTGAGCAGAGGAATTTGCAAGTGTTCCTTAGCACCCAGAGACAAAACCAGGGACAGTGTAAGCATATCAATGTGTGTGCTTATGTGTGTGTGTGTGTGTGTGTGTGTATGTGTATGTGTATCTGGAGTGGGGGAGTTAAATGTGTCTACTACCTACATAGTGGTCCGTATCCTTAGACTAGCCTGCAATAAAAACTTGTAGCTAAGGAAGGAGTCACAGGACAAAATTACACTTCCTGAGGAACAGAACATATACATACAAATATTGAGCAAGGTCAGGGCTTCCAACTCATATATCATGTTGCTTTGCTTATGATTTTTTCCTTCAAAAAGTACCTGTAACCACTGGATATACTTAAGTTATATTGATTGATAGATCTTATTTCCAAAATAACATTTGAAAATCTTCACCATGTGTTTAATACTTCATAAATAGCACAGCATGAGAGAAGCTAATGAGAAGACACAAGAATGAGAAATAAAAGAGGCTACTCAACTAATGGCTTTGGGGCTCGGGTTGATTATCTTTGAGGCCAGTAATGCTGCATTTAATTGAAAATTCTTAGTAGAGTCTCATGACACACAATGATTATCCACTAGTGGTTTTATCACTCTTGTCTGATATTTCTCCAACCATATAGTAGAAAAAAGATGCAGCTCATTATTTGATAATGGTGATGACAATGGCATATACTATATAGTGTACATCCTTATGAAGAAAATGATTATTAGCACTTTCTGAGCTGTTGATTAATTTGTCATCAACAATATTTTCCCCACGCATGTGTGGGTTACTTGCCTATGTTTCAATGTTGGTGTACATTTCTTTACGTGTCACATACGTAATGTTTCTCTTAAGTTATACTCTGAGATCAAATTTTGTTACATTTTGGGGAAGGTGGAAAATGAGGAATAGTAAGTTTGATTATTTTTAAATTCTTAGTTCTTATTCTTGTGATTTGAATCTACCTTTCTATCTTTTCTGCATTGAGGTAGCCTACAGACTGGAATATTACTATTTTTTCTTCTAAGCAAAATTCTGATAAAGGCTCTGGAGGAGAATGGAGAAATTATAAAATAATCCAGAAGTTTTTTGAGAGGAAAGAAAACAAAAGAACAACAAATTGTTTAAAATATAGTTCTCAACTAGGGACAGTTACACCTTTCAAATGACTTTGTCATTATCTAGAAATATTTTTAGTTGATAAAATTGAGGGAGTGCTACTGGCATACAGTGGTAGAGGCCAGTGACAATTCTAAACCTCTTAAAGTGCAGAAGATAGATTATAAAAAGAAGGAATTACCCAGTACAAAATGTCAATACTACTGTGGTTGAGAAACTCTGCTGTAATGCAAATTTATGAAAATCTGATGGAGTTGTTTAGACTTCTTATGACATATAATAAACTCAGTAAATAGCAAAGATGAACTTTTTGCTAATCTGGGCCTGTTAGGTTCTTGAGCATTATACTCTAAATTCACTTTCTAGGACATCAAACTTTAAAACTAGACATTCCACCATAAATTATATAAATTCAGATCATACACCAAGAAATGAATTGATGCAAGACAGATGAAGAAATTGATCTTTGAATCTTCTTTTGGTGTTTAATGGATTAACTTATTTCACTTGATTAACTTGAGTGCTTGATTTTTCTGGCAAGCAGTTCATCATGGGAAGCCTTCAGGAATAATCACAGAAAATTATCATAATCATAATTGAAGTACCTGATCAAGAATTCTCATTTCCATGAACAATTAAATTATGACTTATTGCTTTGTAGGCATATTAGATCCATGTTGGGTAATGTTAAAAGTATTTTATTAATACTGACTCTTACAAAAGATAGTGTTTGGGGTGTAGATGGTAAGTGTATTTCTGTGAGAAAGAACTATAATGGATGGGTAAACTTTAAAATATTGAAAGAAATATTTCTAGAATTATTGACCACAGATTGGATAGCTTTGTGGAGTAGTGAATGCATCATGATATGTATTGTTCAGTGACTGTATTGTCATACATCTTACTAGATGTCAGGTTTGCCTTACATAGCTAAAACGTCCCTTCCAAGTTGGAGTTAATGACTCTGATCACATTTCTTTATTGTGAAAGCACACACAAGTGAAGAGAAGACACAAAACTATGCTTATACTATAACTGTTTATAGATCCTCTGCTATACTTAGTTTAGTGGAATTCAAGAAAAGACTGATTTAAAGCTGAGATTCATACATATATGGAGTTAGAAGTAAAATATATGTGTGAGCATGTATGTGTCTGTGTTTTCCATTGCTTTACTGACAGATATTTGGCAGGTACCAAAGCCATTGATTTATTTAAATATTATAGATGGATAATTAACCTTCAAACAAATACCAAGGGAGGAAGTATGACTTAAAGTCATATTAAAGTAAAAATGACCAATGTCATAATCTTCTTTAAAAACTGATTTTGAAAGAAGAGGAGATAAAGTTATAAAGAGCAGAGTAACTTAAAGATGTTTGGAGGTGTATATGGAAGTTGGAGGTCAGTAGGAGATCCTAACACAAAGTTTGAGAAGGGCAACATCTTACTGGGTCTAAGCAGTATTTACTCGGTCATTTTTATCAATTTAAATAAAACATACCAATTTAATTATAATATAAAATATAAAATTATTTTTTGAAGAACATAGATTAATTAATTAGGCTTCGTCTAGGCCCAGAAAGCAGCTGTTTTAAACCCAATTATTTCTATAAAAAGCTTAAAATCCAAGTCTATTCCTATTGTGTGATATCTACCTTCACCCAAATCATTCAAACTGAAATTAGTTTTTGCATTTTTGATAAATGCATCAAAGAACCTAAAGACTAAATTCAGAAGAGACAGAAAGCTGAAATTACTTTTATCTTTCAAAGCTGAAAGTCTTTTCTACTTCCTCCGGTTAGTTCTAAATAACTGGTTAGGAATATTGGAGAAGAAAAAAACCTGAGGTGTATTTTCATAATATTTTCTGATATCCCCTTCTTTCTGTTTGTGGGAATCACTGCTATATCTGATGGTTGTTAGTTTATCAGTCTTCATACTGTAAACAATTAATTACAACAACTTGTTCTGAAGAATAAAGTTCAGTGTAGAGTAAAATATTTATTTAACACATTTTTATGTGTCAGTTGATACATGCGTTGTGCTCAAATTGTGGTTGTGGGCCCGCAGTATCAACATCACCTGGGAATTTGTTGGAAATACAAATTCATGGGCCCCATCCCAGACCAATGAACTCAGAATCTCTGGGGGCAGAGCTGAGCAACCTGTGTTTTAATGAGTCCTGTGGATGACTTTGATGTGAACTGAAGTTTTGGAACTACTATGCAATGCAGATTAATAAATGGCCTCTCAGACGTCTCACAGAGTTTATGAACTATTAAGACAGTAATTGTGAGAGCATGTATATTTCAGTGAAACCATGTACAAGATACAAGATTTACATAAAGGAAAAATAACCCTTTTTTGTGGGAAATCAAAAAATATTTCACGGAGGAGGCTATGCTTCAATTAAACCTGAGGGAGTAGGGAGTTTTAAGGAAAACAAGTGAAACAGGCGTTCTAGATGGAGAGAACGATCATCTGAGGATCTTAATCTAGACTGTAATCAGGCAAGGTTTTTGTGGTGGTTTATGTTTTAAATCTTCCAAAGAATCCTTTGTTCTTGAACTGGTTTTCAGAACTTTATGGTTAGGTCATTTCCCTGTTTAAATTGTGCCTGGGGAAAATCTGGAAAATTAAGCTGGGAAACTGGAATCCTAAGCTATATAATATAGTGGTTAAAGATTTAAGTCAGAGAAAGGATTGGGCATAAATGTCAATTCTTGTGTACTTAGTTCTTAATACTTGGGTATAATTCATACTTATGTGTGCACACCCAGGTTGTTTCATTTCTGTGATTCAGTATTCTTATGTATAACTGAGATAATAACATCTGTATCACAGGGATGTTGCTTGTTGGTGAGATTCATGAGATAATACGTGTAAAGTATCCGCTACCCTTCCTCTTTTACTGTGTAAGGTTATCTGCTGAGATTATCACCAGTGTAAATATATTTAATAATAGTATCTGCTATTCACTTCATGTAAAATTCTTGAAATCATTGGATTCTATGGTGAACAACACCATTAAAGCATAAAATATTATTGCTGTGAACAGAAAGCATGCTATGAATTTAATGTAAATGAAATATGTGTTCACACACACATAATTAGTAATATCCTTAAAAAGAAAAATGATCTTCTACCTATCTGACATATATTTAACAAACTTGTTGACAGCTATTCCGTGCATGCGAGTCTCTGTGTGTGCATGTGTGTGCACTTAGCTCAATATTACAGCGGACTGGATATTCACATTGTTTCCCTAACAACCGCTCAAGCATTGGCCAAGAATCTTATGACTATGGATGATTGTGCAATATACATTTAATCTTATGGAAAATAACAAACATCCACAAGCCTGAATGAATGGATTAATTCGACCTAGACAAAGAATTAGTCTTTGTTGGGAAAAGTATTAACCATTTAGTGATGTGCTAGAGTAGTTGAAATTGACTTTAAAATGAAAAAAAAAAAAAAGCCTAGGTAATAAGGGAGTAGAATGCAACGGTGGGGTCAATCTGAGGTAGATAATTGATTTGGCAAATACAACCCATTATATTGGCCATTAACCAACTGGATCTGCCTTTAATTTATATTCTATAATTCTGCCCTAGAACAACTGTAGCCCAGGTGACATTAGTATATTTAAAATAAGTATAAGAAAATATTGCATGTTAAAATCTGCCGTCAACCTTCAACATTTCTTATAATTATCAAGTACATACTGTCTCTGGTGTTGAAAATTGGCTGGACAATTTTATGTCCTAACAAGTATTTCATAAAAGCAAATATTGAAAGTAAGCAACTGTCAGTCTTCACAAGCATAAACTGATTATCTGGAGTTCACAGAAATATGCTGTATACGGGGTAAGTTGTCTCAGAACCTGAGAACGTGACTCTCTCCTCATTTGCTGTAACAAAGCCACCTCTATCCTGCTGATGGCTCTCTCTTGGTGCTACCACTATATCATTGGCCAAGCATAATACTGAATCTAGTTGCTCTTCAGAAATTTGGCTTTTGGTCATTGGGACGCTGGCTGAAGGTATCACTGGCTTGCAAATATACATTCTTATGAATTATTCATTGTGTAAATAATCAATTCCTGACTCTTAAGCTATGATTTTAGGGAGTAATAAAAGAGGACTTCAAATAAACAATCATATGGACAAAATGTTTATCAGTCAGCGTTTTTTTTTTTTTTTTTTTTTTGAGAGAGTCCCGCTCTGTCGCCCAGGCTGGAGTGCAGTGGTGCAATCTCGGCTCACTGCAAGCTCCGCCTCCCGGGTTCACGCCATTCTCCTGCCTCAGCTTCCCAAGTAGCTGGGACTACAGGCGCCCACCACTATGCCCGGCTAATTTTTTTTTTTTTTTTTTTTTTTTTTTTTTTTGTATTTCTAGTAGAGACAGGGTTTCACCGTGTTAACTAGGTTGGTCTCGATCTCCTGATCTCCTGATACACCCGCCTGGGCCTCCCAAAGGGCTGGGATTACAGGCGTGAGCCATCGCGCCCAGCCGTGTTTTTACTTTTTTAATTTAATTTTTATATTTTATTTAAAATTGTAATTATTGATGGCCTTTTCCTTTTTTTAAAAAAGTCACTTTATTGAGGTATAACTGACATAGAAAAAGCTGTGTATATTTAAAATGTACAACTAAATACGTTTGGAGATAAGTGTATACTACCCTTGAAAACATCAATATGATCTACATCATAAACTTATTCATCATCACCTCCAAAAGTTTCCTCCAACCCTCTTTATTTATTATTATTTTATGATAAGAACACTTAACCTAAGATCTACTCTCTAAGCAAATTTTAAAGTACGCAAGTATTAAGTATAGCATTGCTTGCTATAGGTAGTAGGCTGTGCAGTAGATCTCTGGGACTTCATTTTGCACAACTAAAACTTGTACTCATTTTTTTTTTTTTTTTTTTTTTTTTTTGAGACAGAGTCTCGCTCTGTCGCCCAGGCTGGATTTCAGTGGCTCGATCTCCGCTCACTGCAAGCTCCGCCCCCAGGGTTCACGCCATTCTCCTGCCTCAGCCTCCCAAGTAGCTGGGACTACAGGCACCCGCCACCATGCCCAGCTAATTTTTTGTATTTTTAGTAGAGAAGGGGTTTCACCGTGTTAGCCAGGATGGTGTCGATCTCCTGACCTCGTGATCCGCCTGCCTCGGCCTCCCAAAGTACTGGGATTACAGGCGTGAGCCACCGCTCCCGGCCAACATTGTACTCTTTGACTAATACCTCCCATTTCTCTCTCTCCATAGACCCGAGAAGGTACCGTTCTTTTCTCTGCTTCTATGAGTTTAACTACTTTCAATTTTTTAATGTAAGTGGTATTTTGCAGAGTTTGTCATGTGTCTGGCTTATTTCACCTAGCATGATGTTCTTTGGGTCCATTCATGTTGCAAATGGCAGGATTTCCTTTTTTAAAGGCTGAATAATGTTTGGTTGTATATTTATATATCATATTTTCTTTATCATTCATGGATGGACACTTAGGTTGTTTCCATATCTTGACTATTGTGATGATGCTGCAATTAACGTGGAAGTTCAGATATCTGTTTGATATCGTGATTTGAATTCCTTTGGGTATATACCCAGAAGTGGGATTGCTGGATCTTATGGCAATTCTATTTTTAATTTTTTGTGGAACCTCCATACTGTTTTCCATAGTGGCTGCACCAATTTACATTCCTACCAACAGAGTATAAGGGTTCCATTTTCTTCACATTCTTACCAACATTTGTTATCTTATTTATTTTTTAATAGCCACTCTAATAGGTGAGAGGTGATAACTGATTTTGGTTTTGACTTGCATTTCTCTGGTGATTGGTGATGTTGAGCAACTCTCATATATGTGTTGGCCATTTGTATACCTTCTTTTTAGAAATGTTATTCAGATCCTGTGCCCATTTTATTTATTTATTTTTTTAATACAAGATCTCACTTTGTCACCCAGGGTGCAGTGACACTATCATGGCTCACTGCAGCCTTAAATTCCTGGGCTGAGGTGATCTTCCTACCTCAGCCTCTCTAGTAGCTGGGAACACAGGCATGCAACACCGTGCCCGGCTAATTTTTTTACTTTTTGTTGAGATAGGGTCTCTCCATGTTGCCCAGGCTCCCTTGCTTATTTTTAATTCAAATTATTATTATTATTATTATTATTATTATTATTTTGCTGTTGAGTTGTATGTGTCTATTATATATTTTGGATATTAATCCTTTATCAGATTTACGGTTTCCAAACATTTTCTCCCATTATCTAGGTTGCCTTTTAATTTTGTTGATTATTTTCTATACTGTGGAGAAGTTTTTTAGTTACATGTAATCCCACTTGTCTACTTTTGCTTTTGTTGCATGTTTTTTGGTGCCATATTCAAGAAATCATTGTATTGTATGATTTTAGAATCGTCACAGGGGAATACCCTAAGAGTATCTTTGCTTTATAGTGGTGATGGGGCTGTAAAGATGATGGTTAAAGAAACAGGAAACTTTAAGATTAAAATTAGAGTAAGAAAGGGAGTAAAGAAAAACTATATTGAAATCTTCTTTCTTGTAAACATATTACAAGTAATAATAACTAGCATTCATTGGTAAACACTAGAGATTGTACCAAATTCTATTTGATCTCATTTGATCATGTGCTATGAGGTAGGCACTATTAACTCTATTATATAGGTGAATAAATGAGTTTAGACAGATTATATAGTTTTTGCAAGTCATGTACCTAACATATAGCAGAACCAGGATTCAAACTTCTAGTTGATGGGTCCAACATTCAAATCGTTCTCACTATGCTATCAGAGAACCATCTGACAAGAATACCAGGAGTCTCTTAAAATTAGATATATTTGATCTATTGAAGAAACAGACTTCCTAATGCCTGATTATTTTCTTTTAGCTCCTACATTTTGCTTTCTCTAGAATTAGACCATCTCAATTGGTATTCTCCACCTTTCTTTTCTTTTTTCATCACAATATATTATTTTAATCAAATTAGAAAGCCACTCCTGGCAGGTTTGTTATATTTTTCTATAAACAATATGATTCTTTGGGTAATTCATTACCTTCTAGATTCCTACTGGGAACCTTTTAATAAATTCTGGAAATTATCCTGCAAACATAAAGCACTAGTGGGAAATCTCCCAAAGTTAATAAGAATTTTTTCTAAAACTATTTTTACTACATTATTTTGCATATTTTTGTATTGTTTTGTATATTAAGTATATTTCCAAAAATTGGCATAACAATATACATAGGTATATTGAATTATGCCATCTGTTCAATAATACTTCAGTATAAACACTTTTTAACCACACTCAAAGTTATCTTCAGAGGCAGAGGCGGGCATCCACAGAGACAGGTTTCTAATACATGTTCACATGGGCAACAGATGTGTGTTCTTGCTGTTTCATGGTGATGTCTGAAATTTTCCTTCTAACTCTGAGAAGAAAATCTGAGTGAATGATTCATTCTTCTTACTGGGAGGAAACATTAAGTCATCTCAAGGGGAACTGCATTAATAAGCAAATACTGATTAAAATAGAGAAAACTTTTTTCATCTGCTTAGCAGAGAACTCTCATTCAAGTTTTTGAGTTCTATCTATCTAACTATGTGATCCTAAACATATGTCAAATGATTAGGATTCAGGAACATTTTTAAAAATTACAAATACCACATGTTCTCACTTATAAATGGGAGATAAACATTGCGTACACATGGAAATAAAGAGGAGAACAACAGACATTGAAGACTACTAGAGGGGGAGGGTGGGATGGAGGTAAGAGTTGAAAAGCTACTTAGAGGCTGGGTGCGGTAGTGGCTCACACCTGTAATCCCAGCACTTTGGGAGGCCGAGGTGGGCAGATGAGGAGGCCAAGAGATCGAGACCATCCTGGCCAACATGGTGAAACCCAGTCTCTATTAAAAATACAAAAATTAGCTGGGCATGGTGGCATGTGCTTGTAGTCCCAGCTACTCGGGAGGCTGAGGCAGGAGAATCACTTGAACACGGAAGGTGGAGGTTTCAGTGAGCCGAGATCGTGCCATTGTACTCCAGCCTGGCAACAGAGTGAGACTCTGTCAAATAAATAAATAAATAAATAAATAAATAAAATAAAATAAAATAAAAAAATAAAAAAGAAAAGCTACTTATCGAGTCCTATGTTCACTACTTGGGTGATGGGATCATTTGTATGCCAAATCTCAGCAACATGCAATTTAACCTATGTAACAAATCTGCACATGTACCCATGAAACGAAAATAAAAGTTGAAAATAAAATAAAATGAAATATAATAAATTAAAAAACATTAAAAACTTTATAAAATGTAAAAGTGTCAGAAAATAAGCCTCACATACCACAGAATAACTGAAAAATATATAAAGAATTGAAAAACTGCAGGAGTGAATTATGTCACAAAGCCATAAATAATCATGTCCAAACAGTTCCTAAAACGTTCCCAGCATGTAGATCTCACATTTGACAAAATCTTGAAGATTCTAGCTGTATTGAGGGTCAGGAGAATATAATAGAACTTCTTGACCTTAAGAATCAAACCAAACTGGGGTCAAATTGCAGGGCTTTCACTGAGCAGGCATTTGGCTTGTCTGACTTGATTAGATAATCTTCCCTGAATCTGCTCTTTTTCTGTAATGAGGAGATGAGAATGTCCACCTTATATGAGTATTGTAAAGATTAAATGAGATAGCTATATAACAATTAAGTAGGTTTGTTCAATTACATTAGGTCTTTCTTCCATCTAGTACTTCTGGTAAACTGCAAGGTACTTTACGCATTGAAGAGGATATTTGAACTAGAAATTATTTGCTATTGTTCTTTCTCCCCATTCCTGCCTCTATCCCTCTTTGTTTCTTTATTCTTATTCTCTTTTCTAGCTTTCTTCGCTTTTATTTTCATTATATCAGATGTGCCAAAGTCTCAATATAACACTTTAGGCTCTGTCGAGTATAAACTCTGTATAAATGTAGTAAACAAATACTTAGTAATAGTAGCAAAGTGTCTCTTACCAGGCACAGCTTACTGGCTCCTCTTTAAATTGGAAAGCCGACATACATAATTCTAATGTGGGCTGTTTCCTTGGGTTTATCATTCTAGAAAACCCCTAAGTTCTATTGCAATCAATTGAACTTCTCTATATTATTATATCATATATATCAGTGTCTGTTTACTGACTGATATGATTTAATTTGCAGTTAATAATGATGCAATTTATTATCTGATGGTATTTGAGATGACTTGGATGTCGTAATTTGGATATTTTTGTTACAAAATAAAATTCTGCATTCGATTGTAGGATGGAATTGAGAGTTGGAGAAATTATATAGAATTATTCCTTTTTTATTCTTATTTTCTCTTCTAACTTTCCTCATATTTATTTTCATATCAGTTTATATATACTGGTATATAATGCATTTAGAATACAACCATTAATATTACTTAAAAAGACAATGATTTCTGATCTGGGATTTGAATGGGTTACCACTCCCAATAACATTATCCTTATTTCTTGATAGGTTACTCATTAAAAGAAGTAAATAATTTGATTCAGATACCCACAGATGTTTGGGGACATTTGTCCCTTTCTTCGGGCACTTTTGTAGCAGGAATTAGGAAGCAGTAACCTGAGGATAAATGCAGTCATAGGTTTCCTTCACTCTACGCACAGTACCCATGACTAACTCTTCAAGGGAAAAAATAATTTTTTATAAAGGGTTCATTTACTTTTTTCCTTATATTGTTTCAATTTCTAACTCCTTCTTTACCCTTTAATAGAGAGTCAAGTCTGATGATTTCTGTAGACACTGAAGCAAACCTAGGATCATTTATTGACATGAAGGTGACACTTTCCTGAGGGATCTGATCATATTTGTATCAAAAGAGACAGTGCACATGTCAGAAAAGGATAGTGACTTTTATGGTTCCAACAGTAGTAGTCCAGGTTAATGAATAAACTCTCTTTTTACCTCAGTTACTTTGTAAATGGTTAAGGTAATATTTGCATTTGTTGTCCTCTTTGAATGCTGACCTTCAAACCTGAAGTTGGACTGACTTGCTGTTGGCAGCATTTTGTTTTTTAAAGGCTCTTTTGAGGCTGGGTTAATTTCCACAGAGATTTTCTTTTGCCTCAAACATTCCATCTTATTTTACCTCCTGTGCTTGGTGCTCATTACAGTATGATTGACTCAAGGATGAAATATAGAAGCTCGTAAAAATATTTTTTATCCCCTAATAAACCTCCTCAACCCTTGATCTGATTTTTCATATGTAGTAAAATATGTATTGAGAAAAGTAGCCCACAAACTATCTGCTTCTACCTGTTACTGACTTATTTAACCTTCGTTTGGAAAGAGAGGCTGTTTTTCCCAATTAGACATTTTCCCTTTATAAAAAGGGGCAAAAAGATGAGGCCCGGATAAGATGAATTATCAGGTTACTTGTCTCTTGCTTCAATGGTAATTCCTTGAGACCTGTCAAAATGTGACACCTCTTTCAAAGAAGAGATTATGTCAATATCAATTGCCTTGTTTTATTGAGCTCAGGATACTCATAAGTACACCATAAAAGTGTCATCTGGTGATGGGGCCAGCCACAAAAACTATTACCTGGGCCAAGAAGTTAGACATTCAGGTTGCGCTTGGAGGGATGAAAAATTTTGAAGACATTCTTCCTGATAGCCCTTCCCAAACCTTACAAACTCTCATTTGGAATTACAGGGGATGCTAAACATCTTGTGGAGAAAAGAACTTACTGGGATCCTGATGCCATTGCTGGCAAATTTTATGGTTGAGTGACACAGCATCATCGTGTGAGTAAGGAATGAGTCAAGGAACATCCAGATACCAAATTCCAATGCCTGCATTTTATTAACACACTCATGGTAATCTGCTAACTGAGCTAGATGGAAGGAATCCTGAATTGATCCTAGAAAGTTGTACAAATTGGTCAAATAAGTTTAGTGTGCACACTGAATCAAATGAGACTGTTACTTATGCCATCAAGTCTCATCTCTGTGTTTTTGTCATTGGGTCAATTCTGTCTGTATTCAGATATTCCCTGAAGTTCAGAGGACGAGGTACTGCAAAATGGAGACATCAGCCTTCTCCCCATTTTTAGGAGACCAAGAGTTCAATGTGTTTATTTTGTAATATTAGTCACGTGTTCACTTGTTTTGCGTTCATTCTAGTGATGTCCTTCAATTTCTTAGGGTATAAAGAAGGAGAAGAGCTGAAGATTGTTGTCATTTTTTCCTTGAAATATACTTTGAGTACTGTACTGGATGCATAGGAAAGGAGAAAGGAAAAATGGGCCATTTATTATTTAGTAAACCAAAGCTATACAGGGGAGAATTTGAAGCTGCAGGAGGAATTTTGAAAGGAGATATAAATCAGAGATCCCAGCAGGCACATTAAACTTGGGAGAAGTTACTGGAGCCACTAAAAAACAAAGTGATAGAGATATCTTAGGGCAAAATGGAAAAGCATTCTGTGCCACTAAGAAAGAGCAGGGCATTGTTAATTTCATACCCAACCCCATTCATACATCGCTGTAACTTGCTTCAGGTACACGGCGTGGGTTAGTTGTCAAGAACTCGTAAAGATATTACTACAGGGCAAAAAAGTTTCTTTTGTTACGTATCCAATGCTTCTAAATAATCTCATGTATGTCTCAAAAAAAAAAATAATCAAAAAACCATTATTTTTTCACTATTGTTTTCTCATTTTAAATATCTAGAAACTAGGAGGTTAATTTATTTGTCCAAGCTTTCACCTTGTAAAAGAGAGAGAAGGATTTTAATTCCAAGTGGAGTAACATCTTACTTTAGGCTCAAGGAGTTGTTAATAATTATTACAGTACCTTCCCTAATAATCTCCCCTAAATATTGACTTCCAAGGACTACAGTGAAGGATTATCTGATAAAAGCTATAAAAATGAGACACACTGCTGTATTTTACTACTATTTTACTCATGCCTACCTCCTGGTACATAAGCATGAAGTTGTTATAAGTAGCTGGACCAGGCATACAATTAGGAGGAAGATAAGTCACCAAACATGTAAATGATCAGAAAGGATTTCTTACAATAGGATAAGTAGAAAGAAGTAGGGTCTTCTTAGTACCAAGAATTCCAGGCTTATAGAGTGTTAGAGTTAGAAGTCACCCCTAGTGCAGTATTCTAACTCAGGGCCATTATATTTTGCTAGGTTAAAAGGATCCCAAATGACAATTTATAATTACATCAATGAGCATTTATAATTTATGCCTCTATTTATAGGGAGTTATCACAAGGCTAAAATATCCACTCTGATCTTATAGCTGACATGTTGAAAAATCAAAACACATCAGCTCCTGCCATGAATAATCTCTGTTTAAACAGTAAAGCAAATAACCTTTGATTAGTATGGCTGGCATTAATTTAGACATCACACTTCTGTCGGTGTTTAGCTGTACGAGACAGTTAAAGAAGCATCAAACATATCTCATTAAAGAAAACAAGGAATTCAGCTTAATCTCGAGTGTTAAACTGAATTAACTGAATCCAAAATAGACTTCTGATCTGTTGATTCAAGCTCACAAATTATTCAGAATATCTTAAACTTAACTAATTATCTCTCTCAGGCTAGGATCCCTGTGAATAGGAAATCTAAAAAATCAGTTGCTTCTCACAACCTAAAATCTATCTAAGCTACCTGATGAAAATTCATGGATTAGCAATAATTGCTAACTTTTATTAAGCATTTACTGTGTGCTAGGTGATATATTAAGCCTTTTCTATTAATTAGGTCAAATAATCCTCACATTTTTCTTAGGAGATAAAATAAACATCTAATATATAAGCTTAACAGTGGAATTGAGGCTTGGAATGGATAAGGAAACTGCAGAAGTTTCCATAGTAAGGTGGTTCTAGGGAAGGGTCAGGGACCTGACTCATTTGACTCTTTGAGTTCATGATGGTAGTTCTGTAACACAGATTCCTGCCTGCCAAGTGTCAGGAGACTGTTATTGCCCATTTGTGAAAACTCAGACCTCCTTCATATTGTATGGAAATAATCTCTTTTCTTTTCTTTTCCTTTTTTTGTTTTGTTTTGTTTTTTGTTTTTGAGACAGAGTGTTGCTCTGTCACCCAGGCTGGAGTGCAATGGTGCAGTCTAGGCTCACTGCAACCTCCGCCTCCCAGGTTCAAGCAATTGTGGTGCCTCAGCCTCCGGAGTAGCTGGGATTACATGTGTGCATCACCACACCTGGCTTATATTTGTATTTTTAGTATAGATGGGGTTTCACCAGGGTGGCCAGGCTGGTCTTGAACTCCTGACCTCGATCTGCCCACCTCAGTCTCCCAAAGTGCTAGGATTACAGGTCATTTCTTTTCTTGAGACATTTGTTCCTTAGTGACAAGGATTCTGTCTTTCCTTTTAATATCTCAAATATCAGCAACATTTCTGGCTCACATTTATACTCAGTACGTAGTTGTTGAGAATGCATGAACAAATGACAAACTTTGTTTTTAAAGCTCACCAGATTGATAATTTTCAGCTTTTCTTCCATTCACAAATCTGATGTATGTAGGAAGATCTACACCAACATCATAATCTCTGTAATAACAGCTCATTTTCTAATTAAGCACTGCTTTAAGCACTTTATAAATGTGATCTCATTTAAGCTTTATAACAACGCTGTGATGTACCACTATTGTCTCCATTCTGAGATGAGATGAAGGGATTGAGCCAAAGGTAAGCCACTTCTCCAGGACCATGGGGTGAAAAAATAAAGGAGAAGTATTTGAACTCAGTCCACCTATTGTTTGAGTCTACGTATTCAGCCATTGCACAGTATTTCCGCTGCAAGCCAAATCTGCACTTGATAGATCATTATAGCATCACAATTTCCCTGTTTTTACCGGTCAAATGTTGATAAGTATTGTATTCAAAGTGACAAAACCACACACTGCATATTAGCAATGGCTGGACTTGAATGGTAAGTAAATGAAAAAAAAATATTTACCCAAATAAGCTGAAATTTTATGTCCACATAAAAACCTGTCTGCGAATGTTCCTAGCAGCTTTAAACATAATTGCCTAAAATTGGAAACAATCAAGCTGTCCTTCACCAGGCGGGTGGATAAACAGATTGTGGTACATTCATACAATGAAATATTATTCATCAGTACAAAGAAATGAGCTATCAATCCAAGAAAATACATGGATAAATCTTAAATGCATATTGCTAAGTAGAGGAAGCCAGTATAAAAAGGCTACATACTTTATGATTCCCAAATATATGACATTCTGGGAAAGGCAGACACAGTAGCAAGATCAGTGGTTGCTAGGGGTTTGTGGGGATGAGGGGAAAGGTAAGCAGGAGGGATGAATAGTTGGAACAAAGGGGAACACGGGAATTTAGGGCAGTGAAACTATTCTGTATGATACTCTAATGATGGATACATAACATTATGCATTTAGCAAAACGTATATAATATACAACACAGAGTCAGCCCTAGTGTACATTATAAACATTAGTTACTATTAATGTATCAATATTGGTTTGTCAATTATTGTCACATAAAACATGTATCACATGAATGCAAGTTGTTTATAATAGAGGAAACTGTGTATATGGTATGGAAGGGGCCATATGAGGAACTCTTTGTATGTTCTGCAGAAATTTTCTGTAAACTTAAAATTGCTCTAAAAATAATGTCTATTAATTTTTTAAAATAAATAAGTTATTTAATTAAAAAATTAAAGATGTCAACCATTCAGGTGTTTTGGAAGACATGGAACTTTTCATTTTATAATATTAAAGAAAGTGATTCCTACTATCTGATAGCTGTCATCACAAACACTTGGTTATAATATCAGTATTTTAATTTTTAGCTTTAAGTACTAGAAAAAAAATGTAGCATCTGTATTTATTGTCCTGAAGAAATATACTCAGAAGAAGACAACCAAAGTGATGAAAACAATTATTTATTCAATACCTACTATGTATCATGTTCTAATGGGAGACAAAAATAAATAAATAAATGATTATTTGCTTTCAATACAACCCCAGAACAATAAATATTTGCTGAGTGCTCGCGAAATGCCCCGCTGAATATTTCTTGGTGGGATAAAGAACCAGGGCTCAGTTCTTGTCTTGGAGGATCCAGCCATCAGTAACAGAAAGGAACCATTGATAAGTGACTCACGATAGCCCATTACGCACTCGCTTAAAATAAAGGCATGTATAAAGGGCTGAAACAGCAGAGCAAAAAGCCCTCAGAGAGAATGCAATCTTACTAGGGAGCTAAGACAATTCAGAAGAGAAAAATATTGTAAAGACAACGTGTAATCCAGTGTAAAGACTCTGCAGTCCTCAGAGTTGCTGTGCATAATCAGTTCAATAGGGATTGGAATATTTCAGGGATAAATGAAACCTTAAAACTTATAAATAATATGATGTTATGCCACCTTCCACATAATATCCTACGTACATGCTTGTCTTGAACTAATGCTTTCATTACAAATCATTTTAGATAAGATTTAGGTAGTTAATTCAACAATATTTTGCTTTAAAATATCCAGGTAATAAAAATAGACTTTCTTAAGAGACCCTGAAGATTTATGAGGAATCTGAAATGACTATTGACACATTAAGAATGTACTTTGTTTTGATTCCACTACAAATCTTTCAGCTCTAGTTCTCTTTTGAATGAACAACTTAATAGACAGGGTCTAAGTCAGGAAGAAAATGAAAAACCTATGCAATAATTCTTTGGAGAAAAAGAAGACAGTAATGGTACAGGATAACTCGGTACTTAACTTCGGAATATGTGAACATTGACTCTGAATCTCCAGCAACAAAAACAACTCCCAAAGAGTAACATCATAACCCAAGTGAAAAAACAATTGCACTGTTGACTAATACGACAGCAGGATGCAATGGTCCTTTAATGAATACTACATTGTATCTGTCACAAACAATTGGAATTACATGACATCAGGGCTATGCCTTTTGTCCCCTAAAACAAAGTTTCCAGAACAAGAGACATTATGAGATTTGATTAGGGATTATCCAGAAAAGTCATGAGAAGCTAAAATAAATTGTTATTTCTATACAGACACATAGCAGAAAGAACTGGATGCACATATGACTCTTAAGAGAAAAAAAATGGATCAGTTTTTTTTAACTTAATTTAGATTTGTATTTTAAATTGTCTGACAGTAGGCAAGACCATGAAGAGTAAGAAGGGGATAAAAATAGGCCAAAATGAAGGGACAGAAAGGATAAAAATGAAAGAAAGAAAGAATGGGTACATAGTCTTGTTTAGATAATGTTGGGGGTATGTATGGAAGCAAATAGAGTGACAGCAAGAAGGTGGTTCAGGACCCCATTGCTCCAGTTTTGAAAGTTTTGAGGACATAAAGACCTTGGAATATAAAAGTGCTCAAAAACTAAGGCACTCCATGCTCAGTATGCTAGCGAAAAAACACAGCTCTTGTTTGTATACACACAGTGAATCTTCCTGGCAGAATAACTTTTCCTTCTAAAAATAACAGTGCAGGCCATTGACTTTCAGCTAAGAATTATCTTCAAGGGGCTAGGACAAATGAGTTACCTACAGACAGGAGCTAAAGAGCTGGTGAATTAAGGGATACATCATCCTTTTGAGAGTGACTTGTTCGCTTTTCTCCATCATACATGCTTTCCTGAATGGTCTGTCAATAGCTGACCTCAGATTGCTGCTCAGACTTTGATATATTCAGATAAAAAATAAAAACAACTGGACAAACCCACAAAGTGACTGTGATCCCCTTGATCCATCATAAATCTAGTTCCACATGCCACCTCAAATGACCCAAAAGAAGCTCTGTGGTTCATGGTTCACGCTCTTGACTTGTGAACAGGCAATGCAGAACAGGTAAATAATAGAAGAGGCAAAAGAAAGAGAGGAGAGAGTAGAAGTGATAGAGAGAAGCAATGATTTATTACATTCTGGCAATGTTTCATCTTTTCAAATGGGTTTTATTATTAACCTAAATCAGAGGAGTAGGTACATTACATGAAACTACGATTTTCAGAAATGTAATTTCCTACTGTATCTATTTCTCTTTGTAATATATTTCCTATCAACCTTGACGGCCTTAATGGTAATATTGAGACTTTACCAATTATCCAACTATTGGCCTTCAGAAACTGAATTATTTTTTCCTGTCTATTCATTGAAAGTCTAATGATAGAGACTGTGATCAAGTCTATAATTATATAGACTTTGATACAGAGTAGGATATAGTCTATAATGTAGATGGAGTCAATTCACACATATCTTTAAACAATGCAACCTCATGCATGCTCTTTATTAGTGACATGTTCTAAGGTATAAAATGTGTATAGTTAGGGAATCCTTAAATTTAATTCAAATACTACCTTGTACTCCAAGACTGACTTCCTGTGCATAGGTATTTGGTGATAAACTTTTGGCATTGCCTGTTTGAAATTATAAAATTCACAGTAGCCCTTGGACTCCTACTTTGAGAGATCCTGTGAAGCGTAACTCTGCTCAGCCACTCATTTATTTTTCTGATGTCTTCACAGTGCCTTCTGGGTGGCATGCCCTAACTAGGTACTTTCTCTCATGTACATCACCTTTCTAATAAAAGGGCATAAAATTAGAAGAACTGGAATGCAATATCAAAGCCAGGAAAACCTGAATAATACATTCAGTGCAGCATTGTAGAAAGAGCAATGGATTAGATATCAAAGAACTGTTCTGGAGTTTTAACAAGTTGCATAGGTATACAGACTTGAAGATATCACTTAACTTTTTTGAGTCTATATTTATCTAAAAATGGGAATCCAACTTTTTTGTGTGTGCTATTCAATTGCTTAAAAATTCTCCAGAGTGCTTATTAAAATACAGATTTCTGGACGGGTGCAGTGGCTCATGCCTGTAATCCCTACACTTTGGGAGGCTGAGGCGGTCAGATCACTTGAGGCCAGGAGTTCAATACTAGCCTGGCCAATGTGTTGAAACCTTATCTGTACTAAAAATACAAAAATTAGCTGGGTGTGGTCACATGCACCTGTAATCTCACTTACTCAAGAAGCTGAGACATGAGAATTGCTTGAACCTGGGAGTCGGAGGTTGCAGTGAGCTGAGATCACACCACTGCACTCCAGCCAGGCAACAGAGTGAGACTCTGTCACAAAAAATTTAATTTTAAAAAATACATATTCCTGAGACCTACACTCAGATATATTATCCACTTGCTCCTATATAGGGCCCAGGGATGTGGATGCAATGCCATGTTTTTATGGAAGCGGCTCTTGTTCACACATTGTCTACAGGGTGGTCCTGAATCACATTAAGAAAGTCTATTCTTCACATTAAGAAAATCACATTAAGAAAGTAGGAGCTGTTCATCTTACAGCATAAGAATTGTTTCTGTTTTTTATTATTTTTTTTTCTTATTGATTACTACACATGTCTCTAGACACCTTGGTTTTAAAATATCTGACTGGTTCAACAGTGCACAGTCAGTTTTATAATTTCCATCTCCATTCTTTTTATCATTTACTTTACTGCTAAGAAACTGTAATACTACCGCTCCTCTGGGGCATAATGTCCCTTTTAATTTCATGTTCAAGTTAAAGATTTGTTAATAGTTCTGCAAACTACCCTTACTCTACCTTCAGAGGAGTCCATGTAATTACTCAAACTGAAAATGTTTGGAGTGGATAAGAGAGAGTGATGGAGAGGAATTAGGAGAAAATTACAAAGATAAAAGTAAAATTGATGCCAAAATATTAGAGAACATGTAGAATATTTAATAGAGAAACCTATTAGTAAAATCGGACATCTATTTTGCATATCACAGCATGGTGATATTTACTAGGTGCTTATCCTTTTCTTTTAAATAATAAAGGAAATAACATACATTTTTTAAAAAAGGTCCAACATAATTTTGTTAGCAAGTCTTTCACCTGCCTTTTGAAACATACATTTTAAGAATCTGTATGCAAACACGTTCCAGTGACCTCAAAACCATTTATGATTTGTTGAAGATGTAAAAACAAAAAAGAAATATAAGATTCCCAGGAGGGCATTCTGTTTGAGTTATAATGCATCTTAACGTTCTCTATAATACAAGTATTAATAAGATGCAGATGTTTTTCTTAAATTGATACATTAACCATGCACAGAACCAACCAACATATTAGAAAAAATATGACTTGAGCTTTAACATACAGTAAATTGAATATATACTTCAAACCCAAAAGACATCTAAACCTTGCTTTTATTTTAGATTAACTTAACCCCATGTACCATAAGACTCTGATATCCTGTGATTTGTAACGTATATTTAAATGATCAGGTGTGAAATCATCCCCTACCCAATCTCTGGAAACATTTCAAATAGATATAATTTTAAAATATTTCGTCTTCTAATCTGTGTGACAAAGAGTGTTCCTAATGTTTTGACGAAGTAGAGAAAAATTTAACTTCAAAAAATAAATTCAGGAAATAGTGTAATTAAGCAAAACATATGGCATGATTTAATATTGCTGGCAGTCATCCTAGACATCAATTTTGAAGTTAAGTAAAAGCAAAGAAAGTGAAAGAGCTCTACTGTAAAAAGAAAAAAACGTTTTAAAAACTTAGAGACTGAAATTTACAGCTCTGAATAATGGAACTCTCTGTACCAACATTGTCATCTCTCCAATATTCCTAAAGAAAAATTAAAATTAAATATTCTTTGCCCCTTTTGTGTCAAAGGGTGACTGTTGACAAATTGGAGGGTCAGGAAGTAGTTGGTGGGTAAAAAGCATGTTTTATACAGAAAATTCCTAAGGACAGAGAGTTGGGAGAAACTGCTGTTTCTACATAGAATGAAGTTCAATATTGTCTAGCTGGACAAATGTTCAAATGACACCTGCTAGCAGTAGGCTGAAAATGAGCATGGAACCAGTATGGCGGAAGGCATAGCAGAAGGCAATGTCAGACAAGTCAGACAGAACTTTTCAGAATTAAAATTAAAAATAAAATTTAAATACCAGTGTGGGAAAGGTTGTAGAAAAATAAGCACTTTTATATAGTTCTGTTGGAAAAACAGTTTCATCTTTCTAGAAGTCAATTTGTAATTTGTATAAAGAGACAACTGATCACCCTAATTTTTCCATTGGATACTATAATGATGCAATAATTATTATATGTATATAGATTTAATTGTAAGGATGGTTATAAAAAGTAGCTTATAATAGGAAAAGATAATTTGAACTTACAAAAAGGTGGCAATTTTTGAGTAATATAGTTTTATGAAATTATAGATTATGAAATGATTATAATGTTGGAGAAGCTTATTTCTTACTTGAAAAGATGACTATGATAGCTTGTTAAGTAGAGATGAAATATGGCTTACCAATATGAAGAGTATGGTACAATTTTTGGATAAATGAAAAAATATAAATACTATTCATAGAAAATTATTCAGAAGTATAAGCCAACATATAAATTTACTATTTCCTTATATTCATAGTACATATCATAAGCTGAAAAATGTTATTTATTAATAAATCATCTATTTCATTAGAATATTAGCTTCATGAGCCAAGAGACTATACCTGCCTGAGTTTCCACTGTGATCCAAATGCCTGTTGTGGTTACATACTAAGATCCCAATATGAGTTTGTTGTTGTTTTAATGTAAATGTTCAACAGACCTTTGTTGAACCAATGGATAAACCAGTGATTCTGTCTGTAAAAATAGGAAAATATGGATGTAACTCTGATATTTTCTATTTTCTTAGTTTTGATTGTTTTGTTTTCCATAATGATATATTACATGCTATGGAGAAAGAAAATGCAACAGGGTCAAACCAAAAAACAGCTACAGGTAGTTAAATCAAGCTTAAAATTGCACATTAGGACCCAGATGAAGACAGTTGAGAAGCATCTGGGTCCTGGGTTCTAGACATCACACTATTAAAAGTTAATGAATGCACAGACAGCAGAACAAAAAGAAAGGGAATTTTTTAAATGGCCTACTAATAAGCCATCTTAACGAATAAGCAACAACACTGTCATCATTATTATCAATGGTTGTGATTATTTCATTGACGTACCTAATTTCAATTTGTAATACCAATTCCCTTGGTGCGTTAAAGCTGCTTCTGAACTTTTACTCTTTTAGATAACCCTCTAATTAACATACTGGTGAACAAAGGTTTTGTTCTTTTTGAAATTATATCCTTAACAGATCATAAGGAGTGAAATTTCTGAATTAGAATCATACACTTAGAATGATTAGAGTGTGTTCAAAGAACAATAGCAAGGATGGTAGAAGAGTTAGAAAGAACCAATAGTGTCCATAGAAATACCATCTGACCCAGCCATCCCATTACTGGGTATATACCCAAAGGACTATAAATCATGCTGCTATAAAGACACATGCACACGTATGTTTATTGTGGCACTATTCACAATAGCAAAGACTGGGAACCAACCCAAATGTCCAACAATGATAGACTGGATTAAGAAAATGTGGCACATATACACCATGGAATACTATGCAGCCATTAAAAATGATGAGTTCATGTCCTTTGTAGGGACATGGATGAAACTGGAAATCATCATTCTCAGTAAACTATCACAAGGACAAAAAACCAAACACCGCATGTTCTCACTCATAGGTGGGAATTGAACAATGAGAACACATGGACACAGGAAGGGGAACATCACACTCCGGGGACTGTTGTGGGGTGGGAGGAGGGGGGAGGGATAGCATTAGGAGATATACCTAATGCTAAATGACGAGTTAATGGGTGCAGCACACCAGCATGGCACATGTATACATATGTAACTAACCTGCACATTGTGCACCTGTACCCTAAAACTTAAAGTATAATAATAATAAAAAACCACCACCACCACCACGACAACAACAACAACAAAAGTTACAATGGTAACATCATGTGCTGATGGCTTCTCAGCCAATTTTTCAAAAGTAATATGAGTGAAATGAAACCATTGCAACCTTCCATGTCATGCGAAAAATACCTGGGGAAACGGGGCAGTTTAGTCTATAAGAGTAAAAGAAAACGCTCCGAAGACATATTTAATCACTTCAAATACACAGTTAACTGACAGAGCAAAGACATTTTAGATTTTTTAAAAAATAACTACAAAGGACAAAATAAAGACCAGTAGAGCAAAGCCAAAGAAAACTGCTTCAAATTTATTTCAAGGAATCATTTATAATTGTGGGAGTTGTCCACAGATGCATGTCTCCATCTTCACAGAGAATAGAACAATACCTTGACTTCCTCAATAGGTTGAGAGGAGAAATGTATTTAAAATCCTTGGGATTCCCTCAGACATAGTAGACTACTCAGCACCTTTCACCCATACTCACTATCCATGGCACACACAGAGGTTTCTCTATCACTCGGATGCGGTTGCAGCATAGGCTGCAAAATTAGTCAGTGTGCAAACTGGAGAGAGAGCTCTCCCTTCAAGATCCAAATTAAAACTTAAACTTCTATTTCCTAAAAATTATTTCATGACGATCTCCAAAGAGTTGTTTGCTTCCACCTGTGTGTTCTCTTTCATCATTTTAAAATTACAATATATTTAAAGTGTGTGTGTATATATGTCTGTGTCTATAGCTATAGCTATATCTCTCTATTTATAGTAATCATTATATTTTAATATGGCTTATCTGACCCTGCCATGCCACAGGTCAAAATTCTTTAATAGCTCTTCAGTACTACCTGGAAAAAAAGTTAATTTCACATTTGGGATGTATCCTCTAGCTAGCCCTCCATCTCCATTTCTTGCCATTCTTTCCCCTTACCAGCACTGATGAAACTCCAGACATTCTGAATGTCCATATCTTGTTAAATTACTCCATGTTTTCTTGTCATCATGCTTTTACTTCTGTTGCTTAAACTACAAGGAATAATCATTGCTTTTTCAGTTTCTCTGGCTCACTCCTACTTATAGTTTAAGTCTTGGTTGGAATGTCATTCCCTCCTCAAATCTATAGTGATTTCAAAATCTGGATTAGGAGCATCACTATCATCCTATACTTTCTCTATCCCACACTATATTGGCCCAGATTTCTTAATTTTCTTTCTCCCCTACCAATCTATAAATTCCATGAGGATAAGTGTAATGACTATCTTGTTTAATTTTATATCACCATTACTTAGCATAGAATGTCTGCACAGAGTAAATGCTCGATAAATATTTATTAAAAGGATGGTTGATTGCTGTTTGCAAGGCATGAATTAATAAGCTCCTGGAAGTCTGAGTCTGTACTGTCTTTTTAAACTTCATGCACTAGCACAGAAAGCAGCACACATGGTGAGCAGGAATAGGCTTAATTATTAAAAAAAAAATTTCCTGATTTGTAATTTATGGCTTGGCATCAGTATACAATCAGTCAGTCAATCTCCCTCTCTCTCTCTCTCTCTCTTTCCCTCTCTTGCAAACAGTAAGCTCTTATCTTACCACAAACATCTGAATCTGCCTTTCGAGAACACAGTACGGACAGGGCATTCACCTGAAATGTTATATAGACAAAGCAGTCTGTCATCCTGCGTTTACTCTGAATTCACTAATAGGTTTACAGGATGTGGTTCATGCAAACATGTGACTTATTTTGGCTTTCATTTACCCTTTGAGTACCTTTGGTAATTGGCCTTGTTGACAGAAGCAGCCAACATTCTGTATTAGAAGTTCCAGTGGGTGCATCATATGTCGATTGCTTTCTCTGTCAATTCATTCTGGTTGCCCAGTAATGAAATCCAAAGGAAACTATCACAAATTGGTAGCTCACCAAATCTAAAGCAAGACAGACAGTTCATTTCTTCTGACTGGGGAATATTCCACATGAGTGTGTGTTGCCCTCTACAGCCCACTGCATGTGCACATTTTCTGGCAGGAAGGGGAAAAATAATAAAGTGAAAAGGGTGTGAAATAATCCTTTAGTATATGAGGATGCTGTGTATAAATTCACAATCTGATACTTCATTAGGAACCAAAGTCAAAACCATTTTGCTTTTCTATGGTGTGTGCATGTGTATGTGTACTTTTCATGTTGTGTTTAGTATCTGCAGTAGTTTATATATATGTAAAATATTAGATTTCTCTGAAATAAATAGCTATACCTCTGTGGTCTTCAGACAAAAAGAAAGGAGCCTGAAAAAAATATGTAACAATGTTAGGGAGGTTGGAGAAGAAAGAAATGCAGTCAATTAAACAATAGGTGCGAGAGTTTCAATGTTGACAGGACTTACACTCATTTTCTACAATTTCAGATAACCATTTGAGAACACTGAAAAGGAAAAGGGTTCAAAGACATGTCTAAAAGAAAGCAGTCTTATTTTTCAGGACCTCAGTGTCAAACTGGATTTCATTGTGTGTTTGTATTTTCACTATATGTTTGTCTCCATTTGCCATTGTAAACAAAAGTTGGTATCAGTAATTCCCTGGTTGCTTGAAAAGTATTTATTCCAGATATTTTAATCAGTTCGTGTTTTTGTAGTGCATTTGGTATTTGTTGTTTTCAAAATGATTTATTCAACCCTTATAAAATCCCTGTAAAGTTGGCTGGGCAGATATATTTTATTCTCTTTTTGGCAGTTGAAACTAAGACTCATGACTACAGAGTTTATTCATGACAAAATGGAATGAGATTTCATATCCCTGACCCAGTTCAATTCTCCAGCTATTCATTTTCCCAACTGATACATATAGTAGTTAAAGATGTTATATGAATTCACTTGGGCAAATGCCAAATTAGAAGCATAAACCTTTCTTCATCGAAATAGATACCAACAGTTTGTTCATTTCTATATATTCTCCCCTAAACAATAATCAATTCAAGACCATTCCAATAAGTCAGAGAGCTAATGTACATTGAAGGGTGAAATGAAAGAAGTAACCCTTTTTGAGAAATTTATATATACCCAGAATTTAATACTGCATGATCTTCACATGTTTTTTCATCCTCATGAAATCCTTAGAAGCAAAAAATATGTCCTTTTACCTATAAAGAAACAGGCATTTCAAAGAGATTATTTGTCCTAATAGCTGGTTGTGGGAGATCTTTCATAAGACCAGTTCCACTATACCACATAACCTCCAGTGTACTTATAATGTTGTTCATGCAAACTTCTTGCCTTTTAGAGATAATTAATCTATTCCTCAGTTAGAAGCCACATGGTTCTAGTCTAGGCTTTTATTTTTGATGAAATTGAACTTGGGTATGAGTTATAATTTGTATGGCCTTCCCACTCTATGACATGACCAATATGCCTACATATTCTGGGTGTTATTTTCTTTGCTATAATATGGATGATTTAAACAAAATAATTTACACTGTCCCATATAGCTCTTAAGCCATATCATATGATTCTATTATTGCTCCATGACCTCTACTCTGCACCACAAGATGAGTGGTTATGATAGCCTGTGGCCCCACAGCAACTGATATCATAATTATGCAGGATTAAAACACCAATTTTAGATAAACCAAGTTAGTTAGTCAAAGCTTTATAGTAAAATTTACTAAATAGTCCACAAATTATATCCTAGAAAATAATCTTCTTTCATATGTTTCTCCAAGTTGTGCAAAATGCAAAGAACACATTTCAAAGCTGTCATTTATATAGTTTGTCTGAAAATTGAAAGCAAGACCGAATGAGATCATTTATGTGGTGACTAATGCTGACACACTAATTTCTATAAACAAACATTAACATAAGGACAAGGTGGTCTATGAAAATTGGACAATCAGTGACAAATTGTGGAATCACAGATTATTAGAACAGAAAGACTCAACCAAATAGACTTTTGCTACTTCAATTTTTTTTCTGTTCCTTGTTGAAGGAAACCATATCTGACAGTCTGAGCTTCAAAATGGTTTTTTGTTTATACCACCAGAAACAAAATACTAATCAATTAGCATCCTAAATCTCAGAGAGAAAAAGAACATTGGAGTTGACCAGGCTCATTCTCTACAAGCAGAAAATGAAGTTCAAGGAGGTGAAGTGATAGTCAACACTAAACAGATTTGACTCCTAGAAAGATGTGACACACTTCCACTGTCCAAAATTCAAGTCCAGTGCAATTTTTTCACTCCACTGAATTCAGTTTCCTACATCAAGATAATAGATTATTTCAATAATGACCCATAAGGTTTTCATGGCTCCCTCCTGCACTGTCTAGGCATGGCCATGTGCCTTGTCTCATGTTTGCTTAATGAGATCAAAGTAAGCATGACATACACAGAAACTTTAAAAGTGCTTGTTCGTAGTGGCAGTTTTACTCTTTCTGCTCTTGAATCTGCTGGCATCATGTTATTAAGTCCAAGCTAACCTGCTGGCTGATGGAAGAACTTTGGCCAAGGTGCCCTTGTCATACCATGTTTACAGCCAGTCACTCCCAGAATCCTAGCTGACCCACAGATGGACTAAGATGCAAGATTCTGGCTGAGACCAGCAGGAGGCAACTCAGCTGAGCCCCGTCCAATTGACCCACACAATAAAGAGCTAAATAAAGGTTTGTTATTTTAAGCCACTAGATTTTGTGGCGATCTCTAAAATAGTGCATAATATATGCATATAATCAGTGAATGGCACCACCCACCCAGTTGCCAAGCCAGATATCTTCAGTTTATCCTCACCTTCCATATTAAACTATGCTTCTCGTCCTGCAATTCTCCCACATGGATAATTCCTTCTACCTCACAAGTGAAGCGCTCCTCTTGTGACTCCTCTGCCTGTATTCTAGACCATGATGCCATTATGTTATGCCCACTTTTTCTTTTTTGCAAGAGCCTCCCATCTGGTAGCCCTGTCTTCATTGCTGCTGGCCTCCAATTCATCCTTCACTCCATAGCCAAGGGTATGTTCTATGATTTATATCTGACAATAATATTCCCATGTTAAAAATGTAGAGCAGCCTCCCATTATCCTTAAATATAGTTCAGACTCCATATCATGATGTTGCAAATACTCTCCCATTTGCCTTTAATAAAACAAATGTTATCATGTATATTTAAGGTATACAATATATGATATATATATAATAAAATGTTACTATAATGATATAAATTAACATATCCATCATCTTAAATAGTTTCCTATTTCCCCACCACCCTCAAGGCAAGAGTAGCTATAAGCCACCCATTTAGCAAAAATTCTAAATACAACACACTATTATTAACTAGAGTCCTCATTAGATCTTTCGACTTGTTCATCCTACTTATTTGTTCCTTTTATTTCCTTTGACCTACACTTCCTGCCCCAACCCCAACCCTGGTAACTACTGTTGTATTCTCTCTACATATATTTGAACTTTTTTTTTTTTTAAAGATTCTACATACAAATGAGCTCATGCAATATTTTTCTTCCTGTGTCTGGGTTATGTCACTTAGCACCATGTCCTTTTGGTTCACTCATATTGTTACAAAGGGGAGAATATCCTCCTTAAGGCTGAAGGCATTCGGCCACCCAGCTAGAGATATTCCCCAAAATGGTCATGTGATCAGGTTATCAAAAATGGAATCTGGCTGGGCATGGTGGCTCACGCCTGTAATCCCAGCGCTTTGGGAAGCCAAGGTGGGTGGATCACCTGAGGTAAGGAGTTCGAGACCAGTTTGACAAACATAGTGAAACCCCGTCTCTACTAAAAAATATAAAAATTAGCTGGTCATGGTAGTGGGCACCTGTGATCCCAGCTACTCGGGAGGCTGAGGCAGGAGAATCACTTGAACCCAGGAGGCAGAGCACTGCAGCCTGGGTGACAAGAGCAACACTCTATCCAAAAAAAAAAAAAAAAAAGGAATGTACATTGTTGATACAGTCAACAAAATACAACTCCTCAAAAGTAAGGAAGTGGACAACACACAATTTCTTTTTGAGGAACTTACAAAAGAAGTTTTGAGAAACTTTTTGTAAGTTCCTCAAAAAGAAATTGTGTGTTGTCCACTTCCTCACTTTTCCCACAGGTTGGAAGCAAGAATTGGTGCAGCTGGGCTAATTTGGACTGTGTGACCAAGTGAGCAATACTCTAGAAAATAGAGGAACCACAAGAGAGAAGGAACCTGGTTTCTAGATGATATGGTAGGCAAGAGCTCTCTATCCACAGTAGGCCACTTACCTTTCTCTGTATGGTTTCATAGGTAAATACTAAACTTCCATCTTGTTTGTGACACTGTATATCGGATCTCTTTATAAAAGTATCTTGTCCAACAGCTGAATTAACATACATCCACAGATCACTGCGGGATGGCGCTGTAACTGAGCTAGTCCAACTTTATTCAAATAGCCTCTATATTTTCTAAAGCTATAGTAAACTGCTATTTACTTCTTAGAACATCCACCAGACCTTTAAAGTGAATATTTCCTGTATTTCAATGCTTTTCTATTTTCTTCCTCCTTCTTCACCTGACTAAATGCTACTCAGTCTTAGAGGCCTAAGTTTAATTAATATTTCTTCTATAAAGACTTCTGTGCTGTCCTCCAGGTTTGAGCTTGTTTTCTTCCCTCCCATGTGTGACTATTATAGTCTGACTCATTCTGTCAAAGCACAAAGCATGTTATTTTGCATTAGTTTAATTGGTTGTCTCTTTAGCTAAATGATAAATTCTGTGACTGAAAAGTATCAATGTCATTCACCATTATATTTCCAAATAAGAGTGTGATGCCTGGTATGTGTTGGGCAGTATACATATTAATTGAATAAATTAATGCAACAACATAGAAAAAAGACTAGAAGAAAATACATTTTAAAAACAAATAGTTGTTTCTGGGTAGTGGTACTATATGTGATTTTTATACTTGGTTGATTTCAGTATTTTCCAAAGTCTCTAGATTATGCATATGTTAGTTTTATAATTGCAAAACACAATACAACAATTTTTTTTCTAAAATATGTATTGAAAATAAAATCTCACTTGCAACTTTGATTTATATACAACCAGGAATATAAACATTAACCAAATACGATATATTTCTGCCTACTATTTAAGACAACTATTGTATGCTAAGGCTAGTAGCAAGGAAATATGAAATACTGTAATTGGCCAATTTTGAAATTCTATCCCCAGTAAGATGAAGAAAATCACTATGAGCTGCTCCCCCTTCTCCAAGACAAATTTATGTGTAATAAGAGATACATTGTGGATGATGGATGTGGGCTACACATATTCCCTTGGTGCTTGTTTGCAAAGGCATTTTTTTTGTCCTGTCTTTTACCTAGGTTTTCATAGAAGCTTGAAGGATTAGGGTTGTTTTGCAAATGAAATTTTACTTTCTGCAGAGACTGAGGGAATCTTATGATCTAGATTCAAAAGACATTTTCATAGGATCGGTTGGATTGTATGCTCTAAAATGCAAAGACTATCCTCATTTCTCTTAGCCTCCAAAACAAAGTCATAAATGTTCAGGCCATGTGGATTTGACAAAGCAAAGAGTCTACTGGAAATATTTGCTCCTCACACATGAGCCAAACTACAGCTCAGACATGTTGATTTTTCTGTCAGAAGCTGGAAGACACTCTCTATTTTTCTCCCTTTTGCCCTTGAAATAGCCAGGTTGATTTGATTGATTTAGGTTGGTGTTCGTTCACTTACAAATTTCTCATTGCTAAAGTAATTCTTCAGGGAGGTGATGTTTCAATGCATGAGGATCAAAGGAAATCTCCCTGAAAGTCATCAGTTTAATGAGGGCTGGTCATTCATCCTGATGAGATTTCCTCATCTTCTCCTGGAATGAGGACAAATGTCATAGATATATTATAGGCAAAGAAAGGCTGGGCTAAGGCAATGGCAGAAATTAATTTAATCTCCTGTTCTAGCTCCAACTACCTACATCATTCAAACCAAAAACAGAAACACAAAATTAATAGCTTGACATACTTTTGTATTTAACCTTGAAATATGGTTAGGCAATTTAAACCAATTCAACATACAATCAGTATAAAGAACCCATTAGTGATTAAGACCAATTTATTAACTAAAGAAATGTAAATTCCATGTAATTGCATCACATATTCTATACTTATAACTCAGCTGAAGAGCACGAAAAGAATTGGCAAAGAGAATGAAAATTTTGGGGGAGGATTTATTAAAATCACAATTTAAAATATTAATTATCAACTTATTTCCAATCACCAAGTATGTGTTCAGATAGATTGCAGATAATTCATTATCAGTACAATGAAAGCTAAAGAGAAGAATTATATCAATCTATTTCTCAAGATCTCATTTCTTTGTATTAAAACCCTACAGTATTATACCACCAACATAGAAAGAAATGTTATCAATCGGATATGAGATTCCTACTGAAGCTCTTTGATGGATGTTCAGTTTTCAATTAATAAACTATTTCGATTCTAGAAGTCCGAAACTATACTCTGAAATCCTTTGTTGAATTTCCCCTCACAATGTTTCAAATATAATTTAATTAACATATAACAAAACACAAGTGTGTGTTTGGGATTTAAAATAAGGTATTATACATTTAATTAAATTGCACTCGTAGCATTTAATTTCTCTGTATAAAAACCGTTTTTTGGAAAAGCCTATGTTTAAACACCTAACACATTTAGAAGCAGTTTATTTTTATCCTCGACCAACTTTATCTTTTTTTTAACCAAGTTGTAAAGTTATTTATATGCTACCTCACTTGAAACTCCAAGAGGTGGGGGACCTCTCTAGTGAAACTGGAAATATCATAATTATTAGAAAAGGATAGAGGTTAAGTCATTTTACTCAGGACTAAAGTTAATAAATGCAGAATAAGGTCTAGAACATGGGTTTGGAAACTACTGTTCATGAATAGCCTGTTTTTATATGCCCCAAAATGGCTTTTGCATTTTAAAGTTGTTGAAAACACATTAAAAAGTAATATTTTGTGACACATGATAATATTTAATTATAAATGTCCATGAAAACTATAAAACACTACTAAAATTGAAGAAGACATAAAAAATTGGATATTTTGTGTTCATGGATTGAAAGAATATGTTAAAATTTCTACACTCCCAAAGCAATATACCAGATTTGATGCAATCCCCATAAAAATTCCAATGACATTTTTCACAGAAATAGAAAAAACAATCTAATATTCATATGGGACCACAAAAGACTCTGAATAGCCAAAGCAATCTTAAGCAAATAAAGTGAAGCTGAAAGCATCCCACTACCTGACTTTAAAATATACTGTAAAGCTACAGCAATCGAAACAGCTCTGGCATAAAAACAGACACACAGATTAATGAAACAGAATAGAGAGCCCAGAAATCCACACATTTATGGTCAATTGATTTTTGACAAAGGTGCCAAGAATACATAATAAGGGAAGACATTTTCTTAAATAAATAGTTTTGAGAATATTGGATATCCACATGCAGAAAAATGAAGCTAGATCTTCAGTTCACATCATTTAAAAAATCAACTCAGAATGAATTAAGAACTTAAATGTAATACCTGAAACTGTAAAACTATCAGAAGAAAACATAGGAAAAAAAATTCCATGAAATTTTTCTGGGCAATTGATATATCCCCCAAGAGCAGAGGCAACAAAAGCCAAAATAGACAAATTAAATTACAGCAAACTAAAAGCTTTCCACAGCCAAGGAAACACTCAGCAGAGTGAAGAGACAACCTATAAAATGGAAGAAAACATTTGCAAACCATATATCTGATGAGAGGTTAATGTCCAAAGAATATAAAAAAACTAAAATGACTCAATAGCAAAAACAAACAAACAAAACCTGATTAAAAATGGACAAAGGACCTGAATAGATGTTTCTCACAAACGACCAATAGGTATGTATAAAAATGCTCAACATCATTAATCGTCAGGAAAGCACAAATCAAAACTACCATGAGATATCACCTCATATCTATTGGAATGGCCAACATAAAAAAGATGAAAATAACACGGTTTAGAAATGATGTGGAGAAAGGGAATCCTTGAACACTGTTGATGGGAATGTAAATTAGTATAAGCATTATGGGAAATGATATGGAGGTTCCTCAAAGAATTGAAAATGGAAATAAGTCTTCTCATTACAAAAAATAGTGTGTGAAGTAATGCATACATTAGTTTGATTTAGCCATTTTACAGTGAATATATATTTCAAAACATCATTTTGTACACAATAAATATCTACAATTTTATTAGTCAATTAAAATAAATAAATCAATTAGAAAAACAAATTTTAGTGTCTACAAATAAAGTTTTATTGGAACACAGCCACTTGCACTTGTTTACGTATAGCCTATGGTTGTATCACACTACAACGACAGAGTTGAGTAGTTGTTATAGAGACATCTAGCTCTTTACAGAAAAAAAAAATTGCTGACCATTAGTCTAGAAACATGTTGTATAATAGAAATGTAAGGTACATATGTATTTCAAAAATTTTAGTAGCTGCATTTAAATATCATAAAAGAAACAGGAAAACCATTATAATATATCTTACTTAACTCAAAATACCCCAAACATTATTATGTCAACATGCAATCAATATAAAAATTATACATAAAATATTTTACTTTCTTTTTTTGCACTAAATCATCAAAGTTTAATATGTAATTTACTTTCACAGCTCCTGTCAATTTAGACTAGCCATATTTCAACTGCTCAAAGACCACCTGTAGCTAGCAGCTACCGTAATGAACACTGTGTGTAGATGATAGGTCTTTTCATGTTGTCAACTCTCCAGTCACTATATAGCACCTTTATATCTTATTGAGTTCATGTTTTCCGTTCTTTTTATTTCCCTGCTTCTCTGCTGCATGGAGGCCTGGGCCAGGGGTGGTTTGCTGGGTTGGGTGTCTCCATGATCTAAGTGTAGGAACAAGGCACTTTTTTTATATCATTGCTCATCACCATACTGGTGGCAAAATCCTGAAAGTTAATTGTCTGTTTCTAGCCAGGTAAAAGTTCTAAATTTTGAACGGAATCCAGTAACGTAGGTGTTGCCTTTCCACTTCGGAGCAGAAAGAAATGTCATGTTTTTTTGCTATAGAGATAATTTTACTGTTAATGTAGTTTAAGTCCAATTAGCTTTCTTGGCAGTCACATCTAACCATTGATTCTTATTATACCCATGAGAAAATATCACCTCTGTGTCTTTTTTTAAAGTGCTGCAGTTAAAGCCATATCACCACATCTTACTTAAGTAGGTTTTCTCCCTTGCTTTCTTGTTTATGTGTTGTGATTCAGAAGCTATCCTCAGAAAGAACATTGGTGATTGACAAACAGGACTGTAATCTCCTGATATCATAAAAGTAAGTCAGTATTCCCATTTTGTGGGGTGGTGGGAAGGAACTGATTGATAATATTGACTAAAAATTATATTATTTGAATATACACTTTTTGAATTTTATCGTTGTTAGACATCTGGAGCATTAAAAGATAACAAAATGTGTGGCAAAATTGTTACTGGAAAAACGCAAAGTCACATATGCTTACTTAGTTCACTTTTTGTTGACTTGTAGTCACAGAGTTGAGATTTTAGAGTATTTTTAATTTGCACAGTAATGTTTCAATGTAGTAAAACTGTTCCCAGATTTTCAGATTGAAAATACATCAAAAGTGAATGTTATTTGAAAAACTCCATTTGGTGTTTTAGATAATAATACCACATTTGCCTGAGGTCCATTATCTAATCACATTGAAGATCCACTGCTCCGGAATGTATTTATTTCTTCTTTTTGAACACTAACTTATTCTTTCTTTCCTAACTGTTTCTACATCAGATCCAGAGTGCTGAATGGATAGTGTGGAGTATAAATTCTGAATACAAAATGTGTATAAATTATTTGCTATCTTTCTGCTTCTCAAGCCATAAGATAAAGCAAATGCTTAGTGATGCAGGTTTTAAGAGGAAACAATGTAAGATTACTGTAATTATAGTTATAAAACAATCACCTATATATTACCTTGTAATAAATATTAGTTACTCTCATGATTATTTCTCCAGCCTATCAGGAAATTCAGTAAAAATAAAAACTGATAGTGATAATATAACCATGGTAGCTAGTATTGTTATGTGTTTACTGTGTGATAAGCCTTTTGTATATAACATCTAATTCAATCCTCTCAATAACCCTATGAGATTAGTTCTAATACTGTTCTCATTTTGTAGGTGAGAAAACAGACTTATTGAGGTTTAGTAAATTTCTTAATGTTAAAAATATATGAAAATACTGATTTTTTCAAATAACATACAGCTTTTTTTGGGGGGTTATCTGTTAAAAGACTAATAGTAAAAACTCTTATTTTGCTATGATGGCATGTCTATATTTAAGCCATATTTTTAGATTTCTTTCTAGGCCTCACAAAAGAAACTTTTACATATGCTACATATTTTTAAAAATAAGTCATAATTTTGTCTTAAAAAACTGCAAAATACAAATAACAACAATGGTACATAATAAGCTTTATTGTAAACAATTCCTTTTCTCTAAGGAATAGAAATTACAAAAGGATGACACATTCAGACTCCTGTAATTCATAAATAATAAATAACTGGTGTTATTGACCACACAGTTACTGTCTCCCTTAGTGAGTTTGCTTCTTTCCTGGTTTTCCATTTTTTGGTGAATGAGACTGCCTTCCAGTTACATGGGCTCAAAATTTTGTAATCTTTTGTTTTTAAATCTTCTTTCCTTCTTACATGTAATGATTTAGCAATTTTTAAAAATTCTGGATGAACAACAAATGCATCTCCTCTTTTTCATTTTTCACCTCCACCATCATAATGCAAGCACTAATTCTTTTTTTCTTTTGCCATTACTTCCAAACTGAAGTGCTTGACTTGGCCACCTCCCATGTCATTCACCTTAAATATTTCTGCCAAATTATTTTTTTCTGAAGCACAGTTCTGCGATTGTAGTTAAGAGCATTTGTCCCGGAGTTAGGCTATGAAGGCTCAAATTCTGCCTCCACCCCTGACTTATTTTGTGATTCTGGGGCAGTCCCTGCAACACTAGGACTGTTTTCTTACTCTAACATGGCAATAATAGCAATGTTTAAGGCATTGGGTTGTTGTGAAGACTAGACTATATAAAATAAGAATACCAATTAAAATAGTGTCCAGAACAAAAATTATTAGCTATCATTGTTATATTCAGAGAAAAGAACTTCAGTTTCTAAACATGGTATTCAAGGATCTTGATATCTAGTGCCAATCCATTTTTGCATGTACATTTTCTTTTGATTCCAACTCAATTCAGAGGCCTATTTATTTAGGCGAATTTATCTAGACAATGAAGACTATTAAAAGAAAAAGACATAGTAATTGCCTTGGAGGAACTTGAAATCTACTACGACTAACAGAATCATAAATAATAATCAGGTAATGGTTCATCAAGTGCTAAGCTGGGTGCATAGCAGAAGGTGATTGGTTTTTTTCATGGAAAGGCCTAGCAGGAAGAAGAGGAAGCTCCATCAAGATGACAATCTTTGGACTGCATCAGACAAGGCAATCAAAGGAAAGAGGAGAGGATACAATGCATTCACACACCTTACACTCGGCCAAATGGGATTGTTTTATATGGCTGCCCTAAGTCTTCCCTGCCTGAAGTATTCTTCTACCCTCTCTGCTTAACATTCTCATTTTCCCACATCTCAACATTTGTAAATCTTTTACATCTCTCACGGCCTCATTCAAAGGTTGTCCCCTCAAGGGAGTCATGATTTCACTATCCAAACCCTCTTTTCACTTCTCATTCTCATGGCATGTTAGCTAAACGTCCCTGTGGTGCTTCATATATTCTACCTTCATAACTAATTATGTGTGGAATATCAGCTCCTTCAAATTAGCAGTTACGTAAAATCTACTTCTGTGTGAATTGTAACACTTGGACATTCTCTAATAAATATGCAGAAGATATTTATGTAATGAAGTGAATGTTGTTTCAAAGCCAGAAAAGCCCAGAATGGAAAAGTAACTTGCTTAAATCACTGACCCTACTTGAAACTTTCCCAGGATCAGAAATTATGTTCGTCTTCTTTATCATGAAACTCTTGATATATATGCCAAAACTACGTTTGAATCAATAGTAAATCATATCAGTGGCAGAACTACTGACCAAAATTCAGTCTTCTCAATCCCAAGGTCTTGATTCTCTCCTTTAAATGGTGAATTTTAATGTTATTTAAAGTCTAAGAATTATGCACAATTTTCATCATTTTGTGTCAATCTATTGTATAAATACTAGATCTAAACACATTTTTTTGACTCTACACAGATGATTCTGCAACAATATTTACATATAAAATGTGCCTATTCTTTTATGGCTAAAAGATGATGAAATCATATTTGTCTTTAAATGTTTCATTTTACATTTAAAGTTCATAGAAATTCTAGACTTACATGACTGGATGGCTTCCTTTAAAATCGTGTTGTAAAAGAAAGAAAGCACAGGCACTAGGAACGAGAGGATTGGTATTTAAATGAATAACTTCTGCAAGGAAGGTCAGAATGTGAGATTACAGATTTTGCTGAACATTATTTTTGGCTAAAAAAAAAATCTCAGTGGTTCTGTTTATTTGAATAGTATTTCCAAATCCACTTTCATTAGCAAGAGTGCTGCAGGACCCATCAGTTCAGGGAGGGAATCCATTTCCAGTAGCTTACAGAGATAATGATAAGCCATCTTAAAGTTTAGGCTTATTAGAAAGGACTGAAATGCATTATAGGGCAGCAGTAACTGTAATGGTTGGTTTGCCAACCAGTGTTGTGGAATTAAAAATGCATTAAAATTTATACAAAAGAAAGTAAATAGCAGTGAATCTCTATTGGCTTTGACACAGTTAAATGAACTGTTCTTTTTCTTTGTGTGGCTAATTTAAAAAAAGACCTATAAAAATAGAAGAAACATTCCCTTTTGGAACTTGATTCATGTGAAACTCTATTATTAATAAAATGAAAAGCTTCTTTCTTTAAGCATCTAATTCATGTATTCCTTAACATGCACAGACACAACCAGAAGAGGAGAAGAAGGGATCTTCTCTCCGAAGGGATGGAACTCCTATTGATTCTTTTTATAACTAAGGTTTGATCAAGCAGAGCAGACAGAATTAGAAGGAGAAACAAAACCCCACGAGGAGCGGAATAAACAGCTATGGAAACTACTTACAAATTCTAATTATACACATAAATATTAACTCCCATCATGAATTTCAAGACACTTTTTGAAACTCTGTTTATGAAGATTTTAAACTCCTAGTCTGCCCAGCCATGTATTCCATCTGTTGCTTCATATACTCAAAGACATTTACTGAGGAGAGGTGAATGAGAAGTATAAAATCACTGACCTCGTGCCGTTTGTGGCTTAATTATGGAGGCATATGTTAAACACCTTTATGCATATATAATTACAATATAAGAACTTTAGTGGAAAAGTTCAGAGCGCCATAACAAGAGCCAGATTCACCAGTATAGAATTTGTGTAGTCACATACAAGCTCATGCTCAGAAGAGCCAATGGCTTGGTTTAATGCTCTCTCATTGCTATCTTGATAATCCTAATTTTATCTTTGAAATTGTGTTTTGTAAGTGACATGCGGTGGTGCAATGGAACACGTGCATGGGGAGAGGAGATAGTGCAGTATGAGTGTCCACCCTTCCTTGCTGCCCCATTCATGTGTAGCACAGAATTCCAGCAGACCTGCAATATGTGAGAGTTCAGTGAGACTAAAAATGAGTTAAAGATAAGTATGTTACACAATGACTGGGTAAACTAGCGTACTGATGGGCCTTAGAGGCAACACCTTATGTTCTAACCAGAACTCACTTTGAATGTAGAAAAAGGGTAATGACATAGAAAGAAATATGAATAACTGAGGAGCCTTGTCTTATTTTTCTTGCTCATGTTACTTCCCTGTACCAGCTAGCCACTTATGCAGAAAATGATGGCCTTGAAGCAAAGTGGAGATAGGTTAACCCATAGTTCCTTTTCCTTTCAATCTTTCCTTATCAATCAGTAAGGCTGAAAGTAGAGAGTGTGGATAGAATGTGTGCCTATCAAGAAAGGAAATAAAAGCACTGAAGTTAGCTTTGTGCAACATTGCCACTAATCTGATGAGAATGAAATGCATACGCATGTATGAGCTATGAAATAGAAATTATAACTCTTATTTTTGCACGTGTTAAATGCTTTTATATTTGAAGTTAAAACGTGTACTATGCAATATAAAGATTATGTTAAAATCCATGTTTATAATTTAAAATTGTATTTTATTTTTACTCAGAACAACAATAAATAACAACAACAGCAACAAACCCACCATGACAGGCTGAGAGAGGCAGAGAAAGAGAGGGAAAACCTTCATAATTCAATACCTTCAACAATGCTTTTGTTTTACTTTTTTAAACAATGGGTTAAATATTTTCATCTTGCACTGGGCTCTACAAATTATGTATCTGGCCCTAGCTGTAAGAATGTATAAGAATGATTTAACTTAGCCTGGGAAGTTAGAACGTCTTGCCAAGTGATAATTAAACTGGGATAAAAAGATGAGCAGGAGTAGAGGCAGATGAGAAAGCAGTAGGGGATCAAGATGGGGGTTGGGAGGGAGAGATGCTCCAGGCAGAGGGTCAGATACCAAGGTCCTAAAGGAAGAAGGAGCTAGGAATGTTTGTGGAACAGAAAGACAGTCAGTATGGCTGGAAGTTAGTAAGCAGATACTGATTACACAGGGTAGAGCTTCAACTTACGTCATTCTGCATCTCTTGGAAAGGGAAAAATGATGGTGCTAAAATGAGTGAAACTGGAATACTCAGAATTAATTATTACAAAAACCACCCTGTATCAATTTATGATTTTGTACCTGGCACTAAGTGACTTGCTGACATTACCTTTTTGGTCCTCCCAACAATAAGGCAAAGTGAGATTTACTGGCTTCCTTATTCAGACAAGAAAATAGGGAATTAAGAAATTCACTCAAGGTTACATAGCCAGTGAATAACAGTCATAAATGGACCACTTTTTCTGAACAGGAACTAGACTGTAAACCCCAATAGGGAAGGAATCTGCTTAATGTGCTACTATATTCTTAGCCCATAGTATATACAATAAGCTCTCAGTATTTGTTGAATGAATGAATAAATGAATGACTTGATGAGTTTTCTTTGGAAGATTCACTATGCCTTCATGACTTTGAATGGATTATGGAATGTTCAAATGAGGTTTGTGTATACTTTGAGAACCAGTGAATGTCCCTTTTCAAATGAACAATAAAAAGTGAAAAAGGAAAGCAGCATGGTTTAGTTAAAAGAGAATAGATAGGAAGGCAAGAGATAGACTTTGTTTCATTAGCTATATGACCTTGGTCCAGTCACTTCCCTTCAGTACTCAGTTTTTTGAATAAAATAGAACAGGTGATGTGTGTTCTTTCCAGTTTTCCCGTAGTATGGTTTGATTATTCTGGGGACTGTTTGGCAATAAACGAACTCAATACCTAAAACTTCTCTTTTATATCACAGAGGAAACATAAAATATGAGAGACATGATTTTTTTTTTATTTATTTATTTCTTTTCTGAGATGGAGTCTTGCTCTGTGGCCCAGGATGGAGTGCAGTGGCATGATCCCGGCTCACTGCAACCTCTCCCTCCTGGGTATAAGTGATTCTCCTGCCTCAGCCTCCCAAGTAGCTGGGATTATAGGTGTCTGCCACCTTGCCCAGCTAATTTTTTATTTTTTTTTTGTTTTTAGCAGAGACTAAGTTTCACCATGTTGGCCAGGCTCAAGTGATCTGCCCACCTCTGCCTGACTTCAAGTGATCTACCTACCTCGGCCTCCCAAAGTGCTGGGATTACAAGCATGAGCCACCATGCCTGGCCAAAACATGTAATTTCAAAGCACCAAATTCCTCAAATAAGCTCACTCATTCATCCATTTATTTATTCATTCTTTCTTTTAACAAGCCTTTCTGAGAAGTACACTCTGTGCCTGGAAGAAGCCTCCTCCTAAAATGATGAAATGATCTCCATTTCAGGAAATAGCAAGACTCTGAGGGAGTGAAGTATGGGTTAGGGTTTATCTGCTACGCAAAAATGGTAAAAGCCAAATCTAATTCCACTTTGAATCACGAGTCTGGTATCACGCAGAGCCAATGTTGTTGTAATGTGTAGTAATAATGCCAGCACCTTTCAGAATAAATTCTGATGTCTGAATCATTTGATTACTTTCCTCACTTTGACTTTCCCTTGGTGAAAGAGCAAAGGCAGACAGCTGTAAACTTCCTACACAAAACAAAGTCTGTGTCTTCCACTAGTAAAAACCAGTCCTTGTTGACACAGAAGCAAATATGTGATCAAGAAAGGTGGGACAAGAATATTGACAGGCTCCAAACAGGCAACCTACAGAGTGGAAGAAAATTTTTGCAATCTATCTATTTATAGAAAGACAAAGGTCTAATATCCAGAATCTACATGGAACTTAAAAAAATTACAAGAAAAAACAAACAACCCCATTAAAAAGTGGCAAAGGAAAAGAACAGACACTTCTCAAAAGAAGACATTTATGCACCCAACAAACATATGAAAAAAAGCTCATCATCTCTGATCATTAGATAAATGCAAATCAAAACGACAATGAGATACCATCTAATGTCAGTCAGAATGACAATTATTAAAAAGTCAAGAAACAATAGATGCTGGCTAGGCTGTGGAGAAAAAGCAACACTTTTACATTGTTGGTGGGAATGTAAATTAGTTCAACCATTGTGGAGGACACTGTGGTGATTCCTCAAAGACCTAGAACCGGAAATACCATTTTAGCCAGCAATCCCATTACTGGGTATATACTCAAAGGAGTATAAATCATTCTATTACAAAGATGCATGCACACGTATGTTCACTGCAGCACTATTCACAATAGCGAAGGCACGGAATGAACCCAAATGCCCATCAATGATAGACTGGATAAAGAAAATGGGGTACACATACACCATTGAATACTATGCAGCCATAAAAAGGAGTGAGATCATGTCCTTTGCAGGGACACGGATGGAGCTGGAAGCCATTATGGAAGCCATTATCTTCAGCAAACTAATGCAGGAACAGAAAACCAAACACCACATGTTCTCACTTAGTAAGTGGGAGCTAAACAATGAGAACACATGAACACAGGTAGGAGAACAACACACATTTGGGCCTGGTGGTCGGGGGATAGGGGGAGGGAGAGCATCAGGATAAATAGCTAATGTACTCTGGGCTTAATAACTAGGTGATGGGTTGATAGGTGCAGCCAACCAACATGGCACACATTTACCTATGTAACAAACCTGCACATCCTGCACTTGTACCCTGGAACTTAAAATAAAAAGAAAAGAAAGAAAGAAAGAAAAATGACAGAACTCAGAAAACTGTAAGAAAATGTCAAAAGGCCTAAAATATGTGTCACTGAAGTTCCAGAATTAGAAAAAGGGATTGGTGCAGAAAAAATATTTGAGAAATATTTCTCAAAATACTGAGAAAATAACGGCTGGAAATTCTCCCAATTTGGTGAAAGATATACTCAACAAAAACTATGCTTAGACAATCATAATCAAATTGTTGAAATCTAAATATAAAAAATTATTTAAGGCAGCTAGAGAAAAATGGCACATCCCAGGGAGACAATAATTTGAATTATTACAGAAGTCACATTGGAAACTGTGAATACCAGAAGATAGTGGAACAACATATTTAATTAATATACTGAAAGAGAAGAACTGTCAATCTAGAATTTTATATTGAGCAAAAATATCCTTCAGGAATAAAAGTAAAATCAAGATACTCTCAGATGAAAGAAAACTAAGAAAAGATCACCAGAAGACCCGCTGTACAAGAAATGTGAAATGAAGTTCTTTGTGCTGAATAAAAATGACACTTGAGGGAAACTTTGCTTTTCACCAATAGAGGGGAATAAATGGTTAAAAAAATTGATAGGCTCCACCAAAAGGCTGTACCTAATAGAAGGCACAAGGGGCAGGTGCCATGAAGGCCAGATGGGCACTATGGTCCTATATCAATGTTGGATTTTCCCAGTAGAGCAGCAATTGTTCCTTACAGGAAGTGAGCATCTCAAAAGGTTGAAGAATGAAGCACCAGGTCCAGATATTTGGTGAACTTCTGATGAATCTACTCTTTGGGGAGGATAGATAAGTGAAGGAGGTGAATTTTACTTATTAACTACTTATGAAGAGCAGAAAACCTTCAAAAGGTGTAAACAGATAGGCAGTAAACATTAGCCAACACCTGGGGCATTCTAGCAAATATTATGAATAGATGTATTATTAAATGAAAGGAATGAATAATTACAGTTTGAAAGCAATCACAGTATGCAAAGGCAAATAGTTGGTGGTGACCGTTAGAAAGCTTCACAGATCTCAGACTTCAGAGAGCTTAATTGACCAAGGGACCCAGCTGCTGTGCTCTGAAATCGATCACCACAATTGTACTGAGGCCATGTTTTCCCTCAAGGTTCTTCCAGCCAGTGTTTGAGCATAGCAGGCCTGCCTCTGGAAGACAACAGACCCCTCTGACAGCCAACTTTGTCTCAAGAACTCCCTGACAGCCTTGCTGAATCTTTAGTCTTTATGGCAAACCAGGACTTTTCCACCCAACTTCCCTCACGTCTCTCCATCATCCAAGGCCAGACTTACATCCTTGTCTTATCATTCTTCCCGTCTTGCTCTGAACTCTATCTCCATTTGTTCTAAAGTCCTTTATTTAAAAAAAATTGAATCTTGGTTTTTCTTCTTGGGGGACTAACACAAAGACACATCTGGCAGAGAAACTGAGTGTAACACTCTTTAGTGTCAATCTGGTGAATGAGTTCCTAAAGAATGCACTAATTCAATGCTTACTAAATTGAAAGTAACATAAACAACCTGAATGGAGTGAGTACTAACTTTATAGATATAGAAACTATGGCTTGCCAGCTCATGAGTGTTGGAGCCAGAATTTTGAGCCAGGCTGTTATTTTACTTTTTTGTTCAAATGTTAAAGTCAATGCTTTTAACTATGACATACTACATCCTTGGCCAACAGTGTCCCTGGTATCTTTTATATGATAAGAACTATTAACATGTTTGTAGAATAAAAACATTTAACTCACCACCATTAACACTACCATGGCTATCATCATTGTCACCCTCATGGTCATCATCAAGTTAATCAAGCATTTAAATATGCATTTGCCATTTAGTTCTCATAAGTATCCAGTGAATTAGGTAAACCTTGAAATGGAGCTCATAGCTATCTTCTCAATCTAAGTCCAGCATTTTTTTTCACTTCATACCATCTCCTTCTCTCTGATACATCTTTGCCCAAGATGAACCAAAGGTGTTGGGGATTTAATACTTTCTTGATATACCAGTGTTTAACTATGAATAAGACAGTTGAAATCTTAGTTTAATAGCTGAATTCAATAGGACAGATCTGATGTTCTTATTCTAGAAATAGCTTTCTCTCCAGGAGCACAAGTATTAGACAATTTGGGTGGTATTATAGGGAACGTTTTGCCTTTGGGTCAAAGTCACTGGGCTCTGGACCAAGTCAGTAATGATCAAATGCCAGTCTGTCTGACAGCTGTCTGGTGGCCTTTGTAATAGGGCCTCCAGCCAGTCGCTTGTGGGCAACCTTCCATGCTGCATTCAGTGCCTGCTGCCATTTGTAATGACAGGCACAGCAGAATGGTTGGCAGTTCAAATAGGCATGGAGACCCTTGGTATCCATCATTCAAGACCAGCACTTAAACCCTAATTTGGTAACAGTCCTACAACTAGTAGTAATTTCTTTCCAAATGAAAGGCCTTTCTCTGGCTGATCTGCCCCACTCATCGACCCACAACTTTTTCTTTTCCAGTAGTGAGATTAAAATTTCCCTTTGAATTAAACACAAGGTCAGATAAAATAAGTCACTGTGAGCAGTCATTATATTTTCTGTCACTGGACCAATTAAGATTTCCAGCTGTCAGTTTCTGATGTTGCAGCTCCATAAAAACCGACACTGAGATGCATTGATCTGTGTCAAAGCTGCTTCAGAGGGAAAATTGGACCAAAAATAATGATAATTGTCATAGGATGTCACACCATTAAATGAAAACATAAAAAGCAAAATGCTGTGGAGGAACTGCAAAGTCATCCTCCTTGCGGAGTTGAAACCGTGTTACCCCAAAGCAAGCCCACTGTTTCAGTGATTGTCCTAGTTCTGCAGGAAATACGCTCCTTAGTCTCTAGCTAGGTAAATTCTGCCCAGTTAATGCTAATTCACTTTCAATTGGATATTCAAACTAAAAATATATAAAGAGTTTAGTTCCTGAAGATCTAGTTGAAGAAAAATACATTTCCTAGAAGAGAAATAGGAATAAGTAATAAAATTTATAAGTCCTCACCGTAATAACCATCACAAGAAATGAAGTGTTCCAGTAACACGGAGGAAAGGGGGTGCTTCTTGTCCCCTACGTAATTGAAGAGACAAGAGGTAGAACTTAGTGATCAAAGGTACATTGGTGAGAGGTGACAGGACAAAATACTGGGAGATGAATCTACCACAGCTGCATTATTTGAATATTTCTTAAAAAGTGGAGTTTTTTTATTTTACATTTTTTTTCTGATCCTGGAAGAAAAATGTAAAATTTTGAAATAAGTTTAAATTAAACTCCAAAAACCACTTATTAGCTGAACACATTGTCATGTTCAACGTTGATTTCTTATTAGAAGTTACAACACATCTTTGCATGGGATAACTGTCCTCCTTTGCTAGTAATTTCAACTTGGTCTATAAAAGAAGGTGAATAACAGAGTTTTGCTAGAATCCCAAGTTCTACGAAAACTGTATCAGTCATTCTTTTCTCTTACTTTAAAGGTACTTAAGCCCGTTATACTCATTTTACAAAAAAAAAAAGCAAATTATTTAATGTTTGCATGACTGAAACTTAAAATTCTTTTTGGCCATCAGCCTTGTTGGGCATTGAGGGACAGTTCTTAATATAATAGATTTTACACTTTGGAAAGTGATGAGATATAAACCAGTAGTGAGCTGAGCTACTTGCACTGGCTCATAAATCCAGTAATTAAATTTCCAAAAATGTTGTGAGTCAGTTTTTGAATACAGCATGATTAAAAATTAAATTAAATAAATTTAAATTAAATAAATAGTGTTAAAAACAAAGTTAGCACACATTAAAAACTCATCACTTTGTAATTAATACGTTTTACTATTACCTATGTCTATTTTGTCTGCTTGGCGGAAGTGATATATAACAGTATGAGAGTTCACATCTCTTCCCAATTCTTTGTTCAGTAAGGTCACCTGGGTAACTTCAAGTCTATTATGATGTGAGTGTCACCAAATGCTAAAAGTCACATTTAACTTATTGTTTTATTTCTAGATTTAAGAAAGTGATAACACAGATTAAACTTAAATGTGCATCATGTCTGTAGTCATTACACTGCGAATAGCACATAGAATTGAGGAATTGTCCTCCAGGATATAAACGGTGTTATTTGAATGTGAAAAGGAAGTCAGTTGTTCATGTTCTTTTTTTTTTTTTTTTTTTTTTTGAGACGGAGTCTCGCTCTGTCGCCCAGGCTGGAGTGCAGTGGCGCCATCTCGGCTCACTGCAAGCTCCGCCTCCCGGGTTCACGCCATTCTCCTGCCTCAGCCTCCCGAGCAGCTGGGACTACAGGCGCCCGCTACCACGCCCGGCTAATTTTTTGTATTTTTAGTAGAGACGGGGTTTCACCGTGTTAGCCAGGATGGTCTCGATCTCCTGACCTCGTGATCCGCCCGCCTCGGCCTCCCAAAGTGCTGGGATTACAGGCGTGAGCCACCGCGTCCGGCTGTTCATGTTCTTAATGATCATGTCTTCACACAGATCATGTCCTCACATAGGTTTTCACTGTTTCCCTTTTGTCTTGCTTGTTTAGGTAAAAAATTATTAACCAATGTTGGAACTACACTCATTTCCATTGCAAAGATAAATAGGCTATGAATACAAGAGTTAAGCAAAAATTAGTAAAAATCAGTAAGAGCATTACAGAAGAATCTATTAGTTATTTGGAATAAAGTGTATTGTATATTTCATTAATAATTATAAATCATTTTATATGATGAAGATGTATACATACCTTTTATATGGTATGCGCCATATCCTTTATATCAGTAAAATTTATAAAAACTCATGTATATGTATATGGTATACATATATACCAATTGTTAAACATTTACCAGGGGGATAAAATTGACTAGCAAGGTGATGTCAGACTATGGTGGGCTTCACAAAGCAGGAAGGTAAATACATCATACAGAGTCATAGAAATCACCTTATTTAAGCTTTGTGTAGATCCATAATACTTAAATGGCCTTCATAAAAGTTGGGACATCTGCTCTGAGAAACCTGGAAATGCATTTCACTACCTCTTTCAAGACTGGTACTTTAGTGAAGCGTGAACTAACAAGGATCTTTTGATGAAAGCAGAGCTATAAATGAAACTCCAAATTGAAGAGGAGTTATATTTTCATGTATTTTTTCTCTATATTGAAGAGCCTTAAAAACTTTCAGCTTACCACAATTTTCCTCTTCTCTAAAAAGAAAACAAAATGATTAAAGATAACCCACCTCTATTTTTAGGGCCTCATGAAATAAGAATTGTTTTGCAGTTATTTCTTACAGATTCCTTTACAGTTATTTTCAAAGAAATAGTAAAAAAGTTTTTAAAATATATTTTAATAAACAAATATGTATGCGCAGGGATTTCTTGCATAATTTGCAATACTAATAAAGTGGAAACAACATCAAGAAAAGACCAGCTAAATATCTTACAGTGTGTTCACCTAAGCAATACTATGCCATCATGAGAAAGAATGAAGCAGCTCCACGTGTAACAATATGGAATGATGTCAAGTGAATAAATGCAGCCAAATGTACATGGTTTGAATGCATTAAAAATTATATGTATATTTGACTAGGCACAAAATATTTTTTGGATAATTCACTCCAAACTTTTAACACTGAAAGCCTCTGAGGAAAAGTGAGGTTGGGTTTGGGACTTCGACGTTTTAATTTAGTCTTTTATATAGTATGTGTCTGTTTTTGTTTTTCTAATGAGTAAGCATTAATCTAATAATAACAAATGTCAAAAAGCAATCTTAGAAAACAGATGTTCCAGTTAGATATTTGGTCTCTGCTTCCTCTTGCAGGTGGTGGTAGAGAGAAGTACAGAATTCATTCTCCAAATGCTACCGAGGTGTACAAAACCTCCAGCTCATTTCAAGGTCATTTTAACTTTACTTTCAGAAGAGAAATGAAGTCTCATCTTTGTGGGGAAAAAAAAAAAGAACCCTTATGGTGGGTAGGTTTGTGGGGGATGTTAAATCATATCAGGATTTAAGACCCCAAGAGATCTAGTAAAATCCAATCATTTCCCCCCTTTTTCATTATGCTGAAACATCTGGACTAGAGGTTGCTTTATGAAGTTAATTGCAGATAAGTTAAAAATCTATAAAAGGATCAGCCTCTACATGAGGTTAGCCAGCAGGGGGATATGCACACTCTTGCCAGGACACACTGAGATGAATAGAAAGGGATGAGGTATTTTTGATGACTGGAGGAAATTTTGTTTGCGTCCTTGCTGTTAGCCTTACAAAGGTTCAACACAATGCAGTATAAGTCTTTCTACCTGCCTCTTATGATCTCAGCTCTATCTGGAAATTCTGCTGGTGTTAATCCAGGACTTTGTAGACTTGCTACACATTGCCAGTTCCACAAGCACAGACTACCCATTGGGTAAGAAGTTAAGAATGGAAGAGAAATGGGAGTCGAAGTGAATAGAGCCATAAACGGAGGAGCAAATGAAAATAGTGGAAAGGAAAATGAAACAAGCATGAAATAACCAGATCAGATATAGTGACACTAATTGTCTTGTCTCATGACATAAAACACTGGAACAACTAAATTATTGTCTAAACTCTTTCTCATGTCAGAAAAAATTAAAACAAATCTAATTCACTGATATTTAGCTGTCTTAGGCCATAGATGTAATTCCATTCCACCCACTTGTCTCATTTAAATGGTAGGAAATGCTGCTAAATTCTGCTCATACTTCCACTTGTTTATTCACTTGTTCGTCTAGCATGCACTGAACACCAACTCTATGCTAAGTACTGTATACTGTGTTTAATGCTGGTGATAACAAGAATAAGTCAGTTGCATTTTTTTTTTTTTTTTTTTGAGACAGAGTCTCGCTCTGTCACCCAGACTGGAGTGCAGTGGCGCGATCTTGGCTCACTGCAACCTCCTCCTCCTGGGTTCAAGTGATTCTCCTGACTCAGGCTCCTGAGTAGCTGGGACCACAGTTGCATGCCACTATGCCCGGCTAATTTTTTATATTTTTAGTAGAGACGGGGTTTCACCATGTTAGCCAGGATTGTCTCGATCTCCTGAACTCATGATTTGCCCACCTTGGCCTTCCAAAATGCTGGGATTACAGGTGTGAGCCACCGCGCCTGGCCAGCCACAGTTACTTCTATGGCCTCCTACCCTACAACTCTCATATTCCTCACTTTGATCCAGCCACTTTTTTTTTTAATCCCATCTGTGCTTGCACCTTTAGGGTTTTGTGTGGTCTGTTTGCTCCACTTGGGATGCCCTGTCCCTAGACATGCATAGCTATCTCCCTCAGTCTCATTAAATCTTTGCTCAAATATCATCTTATCAAGAACGCCTACTCTGACCAGTTCACTTAGCTCTGCAGCTACCGATCTTCTGGTGCTTCATTCCTTAGCATTTATCAGCCTCTGAGATACTATATACTTTATTTATTTATTAAGTGTATATTTGATCATCTATCTCTGTACTCTAGAAGGAAAGCTTTTTAAAAGCAGGGATGTTGTTGATTTTGTTCATGAATGTATCCTGAATACTTAGAATAGTTCCAGGTATAGAGAAGTTTGTCCAAGAAATATTTGTTGAATGAATGAATAAGTGAACAAGACACATATAAGGAATGTTTTAAATTTCCTGCTCTTCTTAGTTTCTGAAAGACCTTCTTTCCGTTTCCGACCTGTACTGACTCAAATCTCACTCCATTTCTAGCAGCAGATTCTCTTTTTTCTGGTCAAGTTTTTTCCTTCTTTCTGACATCTGACTTGTGCTTTCTGTCTACCAGGTGAATTGGTTTCTGTACTGGAATGCTTATATAACTTACTAAAATTTTGCATTTAGAATCACCTTCTGAGATATTTAAGTAAAAACATGGCAGTATGTATCACAAAGTGGATATACAGAAGAGACAGGAAAAACATGAGTAAGCCTAGTATTCATAATAATATAGAGGGTTGGCAAGGGGCAGAGAATGGTCCAAAATAATCTGGGATGGAGAAAAATAAAAGAAACTTCACCTTTAAAAAAATTAAGTTGAGGACCGGGCATGGTGGCTCACGCCTGTAATCCCAGCACTTTGGGAGGCTGAGGTGGGTGGATCATTTGAGGTCAGGGGTTTGAGACTAGCCTGGCCAATGTCATGAAACCACATCTCTACTAAAAATACAAAAAAATTTAGCCAGGCATGGTGGTGCACACCTGCAATCCCACCTACTCAGGAGGCTGAGGCAGGAGAATCACTTGAATCCCAGAGGTGGAGGTTGCAGTGAGCCAAGATTGCACCATTGCACTCTGGCCTGGGCAAACAGAGTGAAACTCTGTCTCAAAAAATAAAATAAAGCTGAATCACAAATTCTCAGGTAGGCCAGGCACAGTGGCTCTCGCCTGTAATCCCAGCATTTTGGGAAGTCAAGGCGGGTGAATTGCTTAAGGCCAGGAATTCGAAACCAGAGTGGGTAACATGGTGAAGCCCTGTCTCTACAAAAAATACAAAAAAATTAGCCAGATGTGGTGGTATATGCCTGTAGTCCCAGCTATTTGGGAGGCTGAGGTGGGAGGATCACTTGAGTCTGGGAGGTTGAGGCTACAGTGAACCATGATTGTGTCACTGCATTTCAGCCTGGGCAACAGAGTGAGACTGTCTTAAAAAAACAAAAGACCAAACCCAAAAAACAAAACAAAACAAAACAAAAACCCACAAAAGCCCGAAAAATTCTCAGGGAGAATGACTTGTCTTAAACCTATAAAGTCTCTATGCTTCTTTCAAAAATTATTAGATTAAAAGAAAATTTAACAAATATATTATGAGGAGTCGAAAATCACTGAAATGTTTTATAAGGCATTCTGAATCAGAAAGGCTTTATTCTCAAGAATTGCTTCCTTCTAAAAAATAAAATTCAAGTTAATATCTGTATAACAGAATCCTATGAATACCAGCCCTGTCTGTACCCAGGAATAAAATAAATTCTTTAAATTTTTTTTTTGTTTGTTTCTGAACTACTGTTATATTCCTACTCAAAGGATGTTAATTGTCAGCCTTGGATTAGACAATCTTGATTCCCTAAGCGGCTACACAGGACTTTTTTTTGATTATAAAAGAATTGCAGTATTGAAGAGTTGGCTTAGAATTCCAAAAGGATTTTATAACTTTGCTAAAGACTTGTTACATGGCTTTGGCAAATATATTATCCTTAGTCTCAGTTTTCCCATCTGTAAAATGAGTTCATTTGGAAAAGCTGATCTCTAAGCTCTATCTCTGACATAATATTATTTTAGAAAATAACTTACGAGTGATGGTAAGATTTCCCATCTAGCTGGAAGTCAAGTACTTTATAGAAACTAGCTGCTGTTTATGTAAGTGTTTCCTGGCATTTATAAAATGCATTTATATCTCTCGCTTGTAGAATTGAGAAACATATCTCTTGCTACTGTAGTTCTAGCAACATGAGCAGAAAACTCCCTTCCCTTAACTAGCAAGTTGCTTGAATAAAGTCATACATGGAGTAAATGATATGAACAGCATTCCTCACTCTTAGCTCAGTCATTTATAATTAGTATAAACAGAAACTATTTTCCAGTGGTCTTGGTACAGTCAGCAGATATCAAGGAGCAAACATGAAAAAATAATCATTTGAGAACTTAAGAAAATATAGTTGAAATGAAATCCAATTTAAGAGCTCTGTTCCCATATACTTAAAAGGGCTTGAAGTCAGGAGTGGATGTTTTGTGAGTAGGCTACTCATATTTAGTAAATACATTTCTAAAAAGTAGAAAGAATTGCCTACACTTATTAATGAAAGTCTTAAATAATTGTTGGAAAATTGGGTGGTTTTATTTCATAAAATTAAAGATTATGTTGTTCTTCAAAATTTAACTTTTCCAAATCCTGTAATGGTATTAAGAAAGTAGATATAGTGATAACAATAACAAAATAGCACTACTAATATTTATTAAGTTTCAGGCATTGTGCAACTTCCGCCTCCTGGGTTCAAGCAAATCTCCTGCCTCAGCCTCCCAAGTAGCTGGGATTACAGGCATCTGCCACCATGCCCAGCTAATTTTTATATTTTTAGTAGAGATGAGGTTTCACCATGTTGGCCAGGCTAGTCTCGAATTCCTGACCTCAAGTGATCCACGCGCCTCATACTCCCAAAATGCTAGGATTACAGGCTTGAGCCACTGCGCCTGGCCCTGATGAACTGTTAAACTCCTTTCACTTATTTACTCTTTGCATCCATCTTAAGAGGTATGTAAACTTAGTTTCATTCACATTTGACTTAGTTTAACATTGACTTCTTTTAGACTAAGAACTCCTAGACTAGTGTTCATTGACCTAAGGATTCATCATGGATCTCCAAAATCTTTTGAATCAGGTGCAATAATAATAAAAAAAAAACAAAACAAAACATGTAAGGGTATGTGGATTTCTAAAGGTGAGAATATATGATACTCTTCAGAGCCTCAAAATGCTCTATGACTTTTCATCTTTAAAGAGTTTTAAGAATCTCTTTGAAATACATATTTAGAAAAAGTAATCTGATCCAAATTTTAAAGATAAGAAAAAGTTTATAGAAGAAATGGGATGCACCATAGGAGATTTTAGCCAGCATTTATTGCATTTTTGCAAGAACACTAAAATTGATTCTTTGATTAGTGATGTGCATAGATTTTTGAAGGGTATCCCAACTTTCTCCTTTTGCTCTTTTTCTCCAGTGTTAAATATAATACATGAAATATGACCTAAGCTATTAATCTAAACATTATTCTCATTAGTTTCAAAGCGCAGTTATTATTCCAAAGTATTTTAACAAATGGCACCCTGCTTCATCTTGGCTTTGCCTTCACATTCAAGACCAAACAAAGCTTGCTACCACCTCCTTCTCTTCGATGCTGAGCCAAAAAGCAGAGCTTGGTATCTCCAATTCCAGCTGTGCTTTTATTGGGCTTTACATCAATCAAAGCTTCAAAAACATTCCAGAAAGATTTTTCTCAGTTTTCACATCAGAGGAGTTAGCTTAAAATCACTGTGCAGTAGGGGGGCACTGATAAGGAATCTCAGAAGGAAGAAAAGTGCACGTATGGGGGGGGTTGCTCTAGGAGAAAGTTGGTGAAGGATTATTAATGTCCTAGAAGAAAGTTTTCTGATGGAAAAGCAGTATAGAAGATTGGTGAAGGATTATTCATGTCCTAGAAGAAAGTTTTCTGATGGAAAAGCAGTGTAGTTTGAAGCACAGTGAAAGAGTTATTGACAAAAACCTACAATCTTTCAAGCAACACTAGATGCTACAATAGGCACAGTGAGTAAAGGAACGGCAAGATTTACATGGTCAGACGAACCCATTTGAACTTCTCTTACATAGATACAATTGTCTTCCTAAAGGAATAGAAAGCTTTGCAGTTTTCTGGAACTGGCAAAAGAGACTTTGACTGTGGCTGGCTGGTCAGCACAGAAATTTCTTTATACCTTTCTTCTACATATATATATTTTTAATTGAAGTCCCAATTACTGACAACCTTGCCTTCTATTACCACAAATCAATCTAACTAATATGTGATGTTACGTCAAATAAAGAGCAATCAGCACCATTTATTAAATGAGTTCATGTCCTTTGTAGGGACATGGATGAAATTGGAAATCATCATTCTCAGTAAACTATCGCAAGAACAAAAAACCAAACACCGCATATTCTCACTCATAGGTGGGAATTGAACAATGAGATCACATGGACACAGGAAGGGGAATATCACACTCTGGGGACCGTGGTGGGGTGGGGGGAGGGGGGAGGGATAGCATTGGGAGATATACCTAATGCTAGATGAGGAGTTAGTGGGTGCAGCGCACCAGCATGGCACATGTATACATATGTAACTAACCTGCACAATGTGCACATGTACCCTAAAACTTAAAGTATAATAAAAAAAAAAAAAAAAAATAAATTAAGCACATTGTACTTTAAAAAAAAAAAAAAAAAAGAACAATCAGCCAGGCTAATCCCAGCACTTTGGGAGGTTCAGGTGGGTGGATCACGAGGTCAGGAGTTCAAGACCAGCCTGGCTAACATGGTGAAACACTGTCTCTACTAAAAGTACAAAAATTAGCCAGGCGTGGTGGTGCGTGCCTGTAATCCCAGCTACTCAGGAGGCAGAGGTTGCAGTGAGCCAACATCGTGCCACTGCACCCCAGCCTGAGTGACAGGGCGAGACTCTGTCTCAAAAAAAAAAAAAAAAAATCAGACATTCTTAACTATAAGGTATTTTGAGGTTTGTCCATTTTGCCTTGCTAGGCAACCAGCCTCTCATAATGCTTAGTATAGCGTTTTTCCTTTCATTCTTTTCTCTTTTCCCATGCCTACCACCTCTGTTAATCTTCATCTCTTTTTCCCCTCTCCTTTCTTTCCTTTTTCTTAACTTTGGTGTTAAAAGTCCCCAAATATTAAACTCCCTGTTAAAATGTTTTGTCATCTGTTATAAATGGAATATCTAAAATGCCCTAAGAACCATATTAAATACTTCATACGCATCATGCTTTTCTCATAGCAATACCAGCACCAGATCTATTATCCCCATTTTACAGGTAAGGTAACTGAGTCTTGAGCATGTGATGTCCATTTTGCAATGACACAAAATTGAATATGTGTAGAGTTGGGTCTACTACGCAGGACTTTCCTATTCCAGGGACTGAGCCCATCCTCATTACACTATCATAACTCGCAGTACTGAAGATTTGCTACAACCTACCCTTGCAGGCTAGTTCCAAAGATTTATGGTCAGGACCCAAGGAAAAGTCAGCCACCTCAACCTTTGATTCTCATCTTACCCTCAACAAGACAGAGACTGGTGTTTGAGCACAGGTTCTACCAGTGACTTGGTATAAAACTTCAGACAGGTAGACAGACCTCTTTGATTTTCATATCAGCTGGCACTTAAAATTTTTACTCTATCCACACAACACTGATACCTTGATGGGCTTATATCCTGTTAACCTAACCACCCACATGTGCCATGCATTTTTTTTTTCTTCTTTGACATGCCTCTTGCTAATCATCCTGCCCAAGACTTCTCCTTTTAAGTTGCTGCATTTGTATTTTAAGATAAAGATGAATCTCCATCATCTTCTTGAAATCCCCTCTGAACTACTTCAGTCCATTCCAATCTCTCCCTATGTACTGGTTACTCACAGTATATAATGTTATAACATGTTCTGTGCCACAATGTAATAAAACTTATTTCTTGAAAAAGTTTAAGTGTCTTGAAGAAAGAAGCCATTTCATGTTCTCCCTTTGGTTCTTAACGTATTGCTAAAACTACACATTGACAAGACTGGAGTTTCTGTCCGAAAACTACTTGTTACTTAGGAAAAGGTAGGACTAGCAGAAAACTGGCAGGCACTGTCCAAGGGCTGAAACAGTTTTATTTTGGTTGCAGGACATTTAGTATAAAATTGGTCTTCTCTACATGAATGTATGGATATCTTCATGTTATCCCAGACTCTAACAGTTTCCTTCTGTTTGAATCTTCCAATTTTACTTTCATCACCTGATTTATTATACTTTGGTTGATTCAGTAGTTCTCAAAATAATTGTGCTCTTTATGTTCATTTTATCAAAAATAACCTTGATTAATGACTCCAAACAATGACCAACCCATAAATAAAAGTGCTATTTAGAGAGTTATTATTTTCCCAAGAGATACACTTTTTAAGACCAATAAATAGACCCAATGTTAGCAATGAATGTAAAATCAATAAGTTTATTTATTTTCATCTTGAATGGATATACGTTTTAAGTAACAAATAATAAATGTTCCTTGTAGAAAATTAAGGAAAGCATAATGAATAAAGTCATAATACAGAGTTGATTATTTAACTTACTAAACCACATATATCTCCAAATACACACACTTACACACAGCAGACACACTTACACATAGGATTATGTTGTACATATATTTTTGTAACTTTCTTTTTCACCTACTATGCAAATAGCATTTAGGTTATAAAGTTAACTATAATTCAATAACTGTATTTAAAAGCTGGATTGTGGATACAATCTCTCTTGACATTACATTATTTTCAACTGTTCTATATTATGTTTTGTATATATCATCATATAATATTTTACATATTATAAATAACAGAGCCATAGGAAACATTGCTTGGATATCATACTTCAGAAATTGAGACACAAAAAGGTATTTTAACTCATGAGTTACTGATATAATATATGGGATGAGGTGGGAAGATTGTTTGGAAGGAGAATGGAAGTGCCAAGGAGAGTATTTCAGAGCCTGTAGTTCATAAATCTTAACTTTTTGATTTCCTATAAAATGAGGTGGGTTGAGAAGAGAGAGATAGAGGAAACTGAAAGGAAAAAAAATTAGATAGTTACTAACTCTGAAGATGAATTCAGAGTGACAAGCTCCCTGACGAAGTTTTGCCTCTCAGCAGCAGATATACTGCAGGAGAGAGAACATGTGCATGCACATATATTCTTACATATATGTGTAGTTTTATAATATGTAAGTCGATGATATTTATCATGTTGCCCACAGAGGATATATGTGTAAAAGGAAGTAGTCCAAGGACTTAAAGTTTGGGAAGATGAGGTTTATGAGGATCTACTGGTGAGAAACCAGCAGAGCGAGGTGTCCTGCAAATGAGGAGAAGAAAGCATTTAAAGTAGGAAGGAAGGACTGGCTTTGTGAAATTTCCAGTTGTTCCCAAAGAGTATGAGGACTGAGAAATTTTCAAAAAACTTGAACGAATGCTTGATTAGACAATCCTAAAGGTTAAATAACCCTAATGGGAAGACTGTGTTCAGGCTCAATAAAAATAGAGGTTTAAACAACTATTTTTTCTTCTTTTCTTATTTTTAAAATTTCCTTATCTGGCAGTTTAGTTGAGAATTTAGCAAATCTTTCAACTATGATATTATTTGTTTGGGTTCTGTCTTGCCTAGCACTCTCATGGTCCCCCATCTACAAAATGTTGATAATAATACTTGCCATTTAGGGTTAGTGGCTAGAATATTGGCAATGCACTTAAAAATCTTGGGATGAAATATTCCAGGCAGACACAATATATGTTATTATTATACTCAGCACTGCCATTTCCTATTTGATGTTTGCTTATTTCTCACCTACCCTAGAGCTTTCACAGGGTGTTACGGGAGGGCGAGCTGTATTCTTCTGCTATCTGGTAGAGAGTGATAACTGCTAACCTTGCCAATGAGGCAAAAATAGCCAAATCCAGGGCATCTCTTAATTTCCCTGGAGGGCTCCAAAAGTGGCAAGACACACGACTGCTCAGTGCTCAGCAAGTAGAAAGGCCTGGACAGTCTTTCGGGAAGACTAAAAATCAGAACAAAAACTCCGTGGGGATCTTTGGAGCAATGGTAGCCCATGATTTTCAACACAATCCTAAGAACTCAATCAGGTGGGGAAAAAATGCCAGACCTACACTTATCTTTTCTGCTATATCTGCAGGCTCCATGCACAGTTGTTCTTCAGAATTACTGTTGAACACAATAGAACTCTATAGCCAGCAGTGTGGCACTTAAGAGGAAAAATAAGCAAATCATCTGAACAATTGTGACTAAAGTATCATATTTGATTTAAATGTACCATTTTGAGAAAATAAATGTTTTATTTTGCCTGAGTTTTAAGGATTTCAAGAAGGGAATATAAAAGAGAAAGAGAGAATGATGAATAGAGCTTGACTGGTTTATTTAAAAATGTAACAATATTTTTAAAAGGCCTTAGGAGCTTTATTAGTTGACCACTAACCTATTTTTCTGCAACATGCTGAAAAAAAATCAACATACTTTTCCCCCAAATCACAAGGGCATTCTTTACCACCTTGCCTGCCAGATAAAACTGAGTGTCAGGAAAGCTAAACATCTGGGTAGGAGTAGGATAAAAATATCTGGGACACCACCACCATATGTTGCAACAAAATGGCCAGCTCCATTCATCCAGGCTTTGTTTATGCTTTATATTAATGGACCCAGTCAGGGTAACCAGGCAGCCAACCAGCAGCATATGCTCCTCACACTGTGGCTGCCTTGATTCCACTTGCAGAGTCAGTGCCGAGGCAGACATTACCCTGTGCCCAACCATTTAAACTGTTATAGCGCCAAACACTTGATCAAACTCCTGAGTCTTGAGATGTTAATTTTACCTGCTTCACAAATAGACAGGTAAAACTTTTTGAATTGCTATTGATGGTTCTTAAGAGAGCTCTGAAGAAAAGATGGGGAGGAGTGATGGGAGGATTATCCATATTGCTCCATCTGCATTGATTTATTAGATATTCCTCAGTTCAAATCTTTTCCATTGGCTCTCCATTGCTAGTAGGGTAAAGTCCAAATCTTCACTGGAAGAGCAATGGTGAGGACTTTGGCCTCTACTTCAAATAAAACTGGAAGGGATTAGGGAATTCTGAGTAGAGAAGGCACAGGCTCTGACATAAAATTTACAAAGATTACCCTGGCTGCTTAGTGGAAAAACAGATTGGAGGGGCAGACATAATGAGAACAGATAAAAATATCAGCAATTATAATATTTATATGCAAAACAATATGCAACTATTAACCCGAGTGTTGTTTTAGCTCATACCAGTTAATGCTGGGATCCTATAGGGGAATGAGGTGACTGAGAAGGGGGAGGATGGAAAAAACATCCATGAATATTTGGCTTCACCTTGCTTGTTTATTCTTATCTTTCTGTGCTCCTCTGAGCTAGCTGCTACTCTTCCCTGCTCTTGTTACCCTTAATATTCCAAGCCCATCCTCATACTGATAATTTGCTCCTTTTGTTCTACCTGAAACATTTTTTCCTCTACTTAATTAAGTCCTATCCTTCTTTAATTTTCTTGTTCAAGCCCTACTACTTAAATAAAATCTTACCTTTCCATTACAACTGTGGAATATCTGTAGGTCATAATCACATCCACACTTTATGTATTGGTCTCTCCAAAATAAATGGTTGCTATAGTCTAGCTTGCATTACTAACATGAACAAAAATTAGCTATGCTCATTTTTTCAGAAGACTAACAATTATAATAATTAAATATAAACAGAAAGCTTTGGGAAGCCCCAGAGAGGGCTGTTTAGGTAGTTTGAGGCATTCATTCATTAGCTCATTTCACTTTTAATGACAGCGTGATTATGGAAAATAGAGACTCAAAGGCACATGAAACATAACTCCTGCCCCCAAAAAGTGTCACTCTAAGGAAGTAGGAGTGTGACTTGAGTAATAAAGGCAAATTTCCTGGCCAGGAGAAATACATTTCCTAGAAAATGCTCCAGTCTAGGCATACAAAGTTGGCAAGGGTTAGTTGAACAGAATCTGTCAAACCAGCCTCTCTCCTGTCCTGCTTGAAGAGCCTGGTGTGTGCACCCAAGAGAGAAAGCACTAACTCAAATGCTCCAAGACTCAATAGAGCTATTACAGACTGAATGTATGCCTGAAATGAGCCTTCAAGGCTTGAATGGGAAGAGGCTGAGATGCCATCTGCCAGAAGCGGCCCGAAACGTAACACACCAGCTGAGCTGGAGAGAATGGCAGCAGGGATTTCAGAGTGCTAGACCCCAGCATGGTGAAGAACAGCACTGTCAGCAGCTGCTCCATTGAGGACTTCAACTACAGCTGGAGTTCCCAACTGAGGCTGGAGACCTCTGGTTGCTTACTGATCGAAAGCCTGACTGAGAGGCTGTTAGAGATGTAAAGGAAGAGAAAAATGGCTCAGACCTCTGAGGCCAGAGGTGGTTTGGGATCAGTAGTTCGAGCTCGGGGGAGGATGGTCCACTTTCGCTCTGGAGCAGTCAGGGATGAGCAGCTGCTAGGGATTAAAAGCATTGTTATTCTTTTTTATTATATTTTTTGTGGGCTTTAACTTTTCTGATAGTTGTTTTTGATTTCTGGAAGCCAGAGCGAATCATGTTCTCCTAATTAATAATGGAAGCGAGAACTATGAGTGAGTGCTTATTATCCAAGGATCTTTCCTTTTTTCTCACTATATTAAGTGGCCCAAGATAAGGATTAGGTCAACCTGCATCATTGTTTCACATATACACATTGTAATTGCAGATTGCACTACTCTGTCCCAACTCCCTACAGTCTGTTTTCCTCAGAGAATCCATGGTTATCCTTGTAATATGTAAGTCAGAGCCTGTCTTTCCTCTGCTTAAAACTTTCCAATGACTTTCTTTTTTTCTTTTTTTTTTTTTGGAGATGGAGTCTTGCTCTGTCACCCAGGCTGGAGTGCAGTGGCACAATCCCGGCTCACTGTAGCCTCTGCCCGCCATGTTCCAGCGATTTTCCTGCCTCAGCCTCCTGGGTAGCTGGGATTACAGGTGCATGCCACCACATCTGGCTAATTTTTGTATTTTTAGTAGAGACTCGGTTTCTCCATGTTGACCAGGCTGGTCTTGAACTCCTGACCTCTGGTGATCCACACGCCTCGACCTCCCAAATTGCTGGGATTACAGGTGTGAGCCACCGTTCCCGGCTGTGACTTTCTTTTTCCTTTTCTTTTTATGTTTTCAGATGGAGTATTGCTCTGTTGCCAGGCTGGAGTGCAGTGGCACGATCTCGGCTTACTGCAAACTCTGCCTTCCAGGTTCGAACAATTCTCCTGCCTCAGCCTCCCGAGTAGCTGGGACTACAGGCACATGCCACCACGCCTGACTAATTTTTGTATTTTTAGTAGAGATGGGGTTTCACCATGTTGGCCAGGATGGTCTCGATCTCTTGACCTCGTGATCCATCAGCCACCCAAAGTGCTGGGATTACAGACTTGAGCCACCATGCTCAGCCAGGCCATGACTATTTCATTAGAAGTATAAGGCAATGCCCTTGAAGTGACCTTCATGTCCCATGCTCACCAGGCCTCACTGAATGTTGACCTTACCTCTGGCAACTCTCCTGTCAGCACACTGTGATCTCAATGCAGCGACCTACTGTTTTTCACCACTAGGCATGGTCTGGTCCCACTGCGGGCCCTTGCACTTTATGTTTGCTTTGCCTGATATATGCTTCCCCTAGTTGTCCCTGTAGCTCACTTTCTCATCTTCTGCAAACATTTTCTCACTTCACCTTTTCAGTAAGTCCTTCCTTGACTGTCCTTAAAAAATAAAAACAAAAACATAAACAAACTAAAACCAAAACCAAAACAATAACAAAAAACTATAACTGTCATCCCCCAAATTATTTTATCACCTTGATTGGTCTCCAAATTCATACTCTAAATTTACTCGTATGTTCTATTTGTTGTCTGTATCCCTCTACTAGAATTTAGCCTCCAGGAGGGCAGGGACATTTGTCTTTTTAAGCAATTTGTGTCCCCAATGTCTAGAACAAAGTCTGGCTAATAGTGGACCCTCAGTGAACATTGAATAAACAGATATTTTATCTATCTGACTACATTAAAGGACTCTGGAAGAGAAGAAAAACATTTTATATATTCTTTGTGTGCTACACAGTATGTTAATGAGAGATGAATTTGGGCCCATCATAAATGCATATATTTCTTGCCTGATTGGGGGATATTCTGAAATTGCCTACTCATAATTTATCAAATTAAAAATAAGTATCTCACTTTTGTTATTTTATTTTTGCCAAGGTCATGTTAATAATGTCAATATCTATTCTTAAGTACTTTTTATCTGTATGCCTTGGAAATAAAATTGGGATCAAAATAATACTAGTTTTTCAAATCTACAGGGTTAATTTATGAATTGCTACTTTTTTTTTTTTTTTTTTTTTTGAGACAGAGTCTCACTCTGTCGCCCAGCCTGGAGTGCAGTGGCATGATCTCGGTTCACTGCAACCTCCGCCTCCCGGGTTCACGCCATTCTCCTGCCTCAGCCTCCCTAGTAGCTGGGTCTACAGGCACCTGCCACCACCCCCAGCTAATTTTTTTTTTTTTTTTTGTATTTTTAGTAGAGATGGGTTTCACCATGTTACCCAGGATGGTCTTGATCTTCTGACCTTGTGATCCACCCACCTTGGCCTACCAAAGTGCTGGGATTAGAGGCGTGAGCCACTGGGCCTGGCCTATAAGTTGCTACTTTTTTACTGATAGAATGGTCAAGGGCAAGGAAACTAGAAATAACAAAGTAGTTAGGAAGCTCAGAATGTATGTGCTGTGGGATTTTCTAGTTTACTGGTCTCCTTATTTATAAAGTGAGAGAATTAGGCTCAGAATTAAATGATATTTATTAAGTTCCTATTACGAGTAATAGGTCCTCTTGAATAAATTAATCCATTTATTCTTTTTTTTTTTTTTTGAGACGGAGTCTCATTCTGTCGCCCAGGCTGGAGTGCAGTGGTGCAATCTCGGCTCACTGAAACCCCCACCTCCCAGGCTCAAGCAATTCTTCTGCCTCAGCCTCCCAAGTAGCTGGGATTACAAGCGTGTACCACTACACCTGGCTACTTTTTGTATTTTTAGCAGAGACGGGGTTTCACCACCTTGGCCAGGCTGGTCTTGAACTCCTGACATCATGATCCACCTGTCTTGGCCTTCCAAAGTGCTGGGATTACAGGCATGAGCCACCGGGCCCGGCCCCTTTATTCTTTAAATGCCTATGTGAAGTAGTTACTACTACTAACATTTAAAAATGCAAAAACAAATTTGGAAGAAAAAGTAACATGACCCAGGCCCTACAACTAGTCATGTGGGAAAGCCTCAAGCAGCAGCCTGCTAGACCAAGGGTAGGCAAACTATAACCATTAGGCCACATACCACCTGTCACTTGTTCTTTTAAATAAAGTTTTGTTTGAATGCAACCACCCCAATTTGTTTATGGATAATTACTGGCTGCTTTCAGCATTGCAATGACACAGTTGAACAGTTGCAATAGAGATAGTCTGGCCTGCATAGTCAAAATTATTTACTGTGTGGATCTTTACAGAAAAAGTTTTCCAAATCCTGTACTGAACTATAAGTTACATGAGGGCAGGGAGCTTGTCTGTTATTTTCTCTGCTGCATTCCCAGTACCTAGAACATTTCCTGGCATAGAGTAGATGCTGATAAATTTCTTTTAAATGAATGAATTAATGACCCAGATCTGTGTGACTCTTAAATGACAAAATCTTTAGTTTGGTCTCTTTCTTTTTTTTTTTTTTTTTTTAATACATTTTTTCCTCCAAAGCTCCAAACTGATTTTCTAGAAAGATTTACTTAAATAACAATCCCATCATATTTAGGGAGAAATTACCATCAAAATATATTTAAAGTAGAATATATATATTCAACCTCAGCCTTGGTACTGATTAACAAAAGGTCAAGATAATATTCCAACTTTGGCAAATTTCTCACAATCCCTCCTACTTATGAAATTATATCATTCTCTTGAAAACTAAGTTGAAAGGCAGGAAAGAATTTTCATATTCATTCTCTATTGATATCTAATCCACTTGCTTCACTTTTTAAGTGAAAGAAGGACTTTTCTATTGAGGGACATTATTTATTCATACAAGGTAATAAAGATATAATAAATGGTGATTATGTTATAGCTCTTGTGGTGATCTGAAAACCCAGCTTTATTCTCTCCACCTTCTTTATAGCTAAAATTAACAGATCCTGTACAACGCAGCCAACAGTTCTGCTGAGGATGCACCAGGCTGAAGGGAGTCCGCTCATTTTGTGCACAGCTGCAATCTCTTAGCCAGTAGGGAATTTTTTTTTTTTTTATTAGTGCAGCAAATAGGTAAGATAGGTTTGCTCTTATTTCCTGTTTGAACAAGGCTATTTTTTTGACTTCATACTCAAGTTACTAAACCCCTTACTTCTAAACACTTATTGGAATAAACTATGCATCAAAAGGAAGTATCAAATAAACTAAGCAGGGTTCAACTTGATAACTTCTGAAGATTGTTGGGGAAGCACTCCTCCACTCTTTTTCTGGGCCATTCTGTTGGGTTTGATGTCAGTGTAGTCTTCGGGAATCAGTCCCTCATCCAGTTCTCATCAATCTAAGGATTTCATTCTTATAACTGCATTTACTGGTGAGTGTTGAACACAAGGCTCCTGTTGGGTCACTGAAGGACAGGTTGTAGATATTTGCTCAACTGCTCTCTTTGAGTTGCAAATTTGTAATGACTCTCTGTAGCTGTTCACAGTCATTTTGCAAATTTAAGGGACATATACTGCTGGAGATTAAAATCAACCCAGAGAAGAGTAGATGCAAAGATAAAAAAACAACAGTATGATTTCTGGTTGTTTAGTACGATTCGCTGTAACTAAGTGTGCCTGAAGGTATTTCTCTAGCTACTTTTTTTGTGATACAATGCATTCTTTATTTTACTTAAGACAGGTTGATCTGGGTCTACCATTTGCAACTCAAAGAGCCTTGGCTAATTTAGAACACAGGTTTATTTGTGGATTTTTCTTTCTGGAGAGTTGAAATGTTTAAAAAGAGCACCATGTTAGAATGGAACATGAAATAAATCTGGAGTCAGAATACCTCATTTCAAAATGGTAGTCTTTCAATTATCTGAGTTTTTTGAAGTCTTCTATGAGAAGGTGAAAATAATGTCTGTACCCACCTACATTACAGGGTTGCTGTGAAGATCATGTAAGACAATGAATGTGAAAATTCTCCAGAAATGGAAAGTGTTGGGTAAAAGTAATGGTAGATCAAGTTTCTTTAAAACACACAGCAGGTCATTATGCATCATAAAAAGATGAACTGGCTGGGCACCGTGGCTCACGCCTGTAATCCCAGCACTTTGGGAGGCCGAGGCGGGTGGATCACCAGTTCAGGAGATCGAGACCATCTTGGCTAACACGGTGAAACCCCATCTCTACTAAAAAATACAAAAAATTAGCTGGATGTGGTGGCAGGCGACTGTAGTCTCAGCTACTTGGGAGGCTGAGGCAGGAGAACGGTGTGAACCCAGGAGGTGGAGCTTGCAATGAGCAGAGATAGTGCCACTGCACTTCAGCCTGGGTGACAGAGCCAGACTCCATTTCAAAAAAAAAAAAAAAAAAAAAAAAAAGATCAACTGCCTAGTATTCCTTCATTGTAAAAGTCATTACAAAAGTATAAAGTGTCTCATTATGAAATTATTGAGTATATGAATTTGACTTGTGTCACAAGTTCTTAGGCAAGTTTTGTGCCATGGCAAGAAAAGCTGGGAGCCCAGATGAGAACTTTATTTATTTACTAATTTACAAAATATTTATGAGCACCAACAACCAAGTCAGGTACTAAAAAAGGCCCCTGGAACTTAGGCAGCAAAACCACTCCAGGTGCAGCTGGAGAGATAGACCAATATATAAATAATTGAAATGTGATAAGATAAATGCTAGGATAGAGATAAGAATCAAATACAATGGAACCAGAGAGAAGGAATCTACTATCAATGCTTCAATGTGCTGGGGAAAGTTACAGTGAGAACCCGACCTTTAAACTCTGTCTCAAAGCCTAAAGTGTGATTCTCCAGGGAGACAGGGTTGAAGTAGTTTCTGCAAATTTTAGACCTGAAGGTAACTATGGAGATCATATAAGCTTTTAGCAGCAGAAAAAGCTTATTGAATTTCTATTCAGAACATTTGTATTCCAGTATCTGTTCCACTGATAACTCACTGTACAGCCATTCTAAGATTTTCTGATTTCTCTGGTCTTGTATCTCAATTTAGAAATGAGAGGGGGTTAGATGACCATCAGTATATGTTTCAGCAAAAATTGCCTGTACTTTATGTCTAAAACTCCACTTTACAGATGCAAAATGTTGAATGCTAAAAGTGTAACTTGCCCAAAGAGTGGATGTAAATGTAGGAGATAAGTGATTCAAAAACTCTAATATATAATTCCTATACATGTCCAAAGTTATCCCACTGGAAATTAATCTCATTACATGTTTAATTTCTCCACAGATATTTTTATGATTGGCCAACTGAGACTCATAAGAAGAGCTGGTTCAGTATATGATCAATCAGGCATCTGGCTGTAGTCTGTATTTTGTTTACTTTTATAAATGGAGAAAAGAAGGGTAATGATTGGCTGTACCAGGAGATTATACCTTTTTGTCCTGGCACCATAGAAATTTCCCCTGTAGTTGGGAAAGACAACACAACTGTGATGACAAACAAGATATTATCTTGAAACTTTCCCTAAAAATTTCTGTGGCGGCGCTTTCATTGCTATTACAAATATAGACCTTAAGTAAATTACTATTCCGGGTAAGAAGTTTTGGACTTTTGAATTACCAAATTCCTATACCAACTTTGTTCTGGATTGCAGAGTGATGTCAAAGACGAGACTCATTTTCTAGTTATTTGCATATCATCAGGTGAAATTTTTCTAAGTTGGGCATCAGCTCTTTCAGTCAGATTCCACTCTATGTCAAAAACTCTCCAAGCATTTTTCCTCAGTGACCCATTGGTCATTCTCAGTAAAGTACCCTGAGGAGACAGATCAGTATTTACATAGCATATTTTCATCACTCAGTGGCAACTCAGTTAATATTAATTTGATTGGAGTGTTACCATTGCATTCTTAATGAACACCTGTGGTATTTACAGTGTGAAGGTAGCAATATGAAGCAGAAAAATAAAATTTTAAAAACGTATTTTCAAAAATAAAAAGTGTGTTCTAGTATAATGTTTTACTAATCATCTTTCCAGTGACATTCACATTTTGAGAGTTAGCAATCTAAACATCATTAACCACCCTTCATCATGAAATGCTATGTTGGCATTGTTGATTTTTAAAGAACATGATATTCAAAATATGAAATTTTATATGATGTAAGTTAGGGAATTCACATTGTAAAAAAGTTAGTTTATTTTCAGCTGAATTTCATTCAATACAACAAATTCTGTTGAAAGCTTTATGATGAGAAAATAATTTAGGGATGCCTTACAGGGGATAAAAGGATGAATAATATTTTCTGACATTTATTGAGTGTGCCGTGCAGTGTTGTAACACTTTATGTTAGTTCATCTAGTCTTTCTGTCCACATGAAGAAGTAGTACTATTATCAGCCCATTTTGCAAGTGGGAAAACTGAGGATCAGAGGGCTTATGTAAATTCCCTAAGAACACAAGTAGTTAGTGAAAGACCCTGGATTTTAGCTAAGGAAGCCTAATACCAGAGCTGTTTCTTCTAATCTCTGCCTTAACATTTTTTTTAATTTATTTTATTTATTTTATTTTTTATTTTTCTTTTTTTTTTAAATTTATTTTTTTATTATTATACTTTAAGTTTTAGGGTACATGTGCACATGATCTTAGAATTATACAAATTGGGATTACTTTATCTAATGTTTCCGAATAAGCATCTATTGATTAATGTGTGCTGAGTTTAACTGAATTGAAGTGGTTTTACTTATATTTATTATATAGATAATGAAACAAAATCATATTTAAAAAGAATGCCTCTATACAATCTTTTATTTGCCTAATTTTTTTCTTTTTGATATTTATAAAGATTTACTTTATTCTCAGTGATCAATAAGATGGCCTGCCTGATCTGGCATTTCCAATGTGCTGCAGTGTTTTTCTGTTTTGTTTTTTAATAAACTAAATTGCTGTTAAAAGCAACAACACAAGATTCTTTCCTATGTGAATTTTGTTATATACAAGGACTGTCAAATTCTCTCAGGAAGCTCTGAAAGTGAATTAGCTGCAGTAGGCTGTTTGTGTTGTAACCAAAACAGATCACACATCTGATGCTTCAAAAGATTAGGTATGTATTCTCTCACTTACGTAAGGTACAAAGGGAAAGTTCTTGGGAATAGAGGTGGGAAGACCTCTCCTCTCTTCAATACATTTCTTCTTTCTTAAATCTTAGTGATCAGTTACCACTAGTGGCTCCCAAGGTCAACTTTGGGGTCATCTGACCTTCATCCCCACAAGGCATAAGCAATTGTGGAGGACCACAGAAACGGTATTTGTTGCCAAGGCTCTAAATAATGTTCATCATTTCTGACCATATTCCCTATAAAAATCTCAGTTTTGCATGGTACTAATCATACCACAAAAATAGCAGACTGAGAAATGCAAAGTGTGTGTCCTGAAGCATAGAGAATAATTTTCGGAGAACAGTCAGGATCTGACATACATTATTGCACCCCTGTGTTAACTTCTCTAATGCCTGCTAAGTCATAATGTCTGGCAAAAGGCTTTTCCATGTTTATTACATTCATAAGGGTTTCCACTTGTGAGTTTTCTGTGTCTAGTGATGAGTAACCAGTTCAAAGTGTTCTCCAATACTCACGATGTTCATAGGTTTTTACTCCCCAGTGAGAGTTCTCTGATGTCTGCTGAGGTGTGACTTCTGGCCAAAAGATTTTCCAACATTCATGACATTCATAGGTTTTTTCCAAGTTTGGATGCCATGAGGATTCCTGAGGCTTGGCGTCCAGCCTCCACTTTCATCTCATTCATAAGGTTTATTGCGTCTGTGAGTTCTCTGAAGTGTGGCGAGGCCTCTCTTCTCACAGGAGGTTTTCCCACATTCCTTACATTCATAAGATTTTTCCCCTGTGAATAGCCTGAGACTTCCTGAGGTTTGCATTCCAGTGAAAAATTTTTTTGACATTCATGACATTTATAGGATATTTCCCCTGTGTTAATGAGTGGATGCAACCTGAAGTGAGACTTCCAGTGAAAAGCTTTTCCATATTCACTAGATTCATAAGGTTTTTCCCCTGTGAGTTATCTGATGTCTAGTGGGGACTGCCTTCAAACAGGAGGTTTTCCCACACTCATTACATTCATAGAATTTTTCGATTGTGTGAATATCCTGATATTTTCTGAGATTTGACTTGAGTTGAAAGGTTTTCACACATTCTTTACACACATATGATTTTCTCCCATGTGTATTCTCTGAAATGAGCTGAGTCTTGATTTCTCCTGAAAAGTTTTGCTACTTACATATCTCTTGGGACATGAGAGCTGACTGATCACAAGATTTTCCATATTCTTTATACCCACATGAGGTCTCTCCCATATGACTATGATCATGTGTCCATAATATTGCCTGCATGTTAAAGCAATGTCTACTGTATTCAAAATATTGCTGTCAGCTTGAATTTTATGATGCTGTCTGAAATGCTCATGATTTCTGATACATTTCACAGTTAAATTACAGGCATCTAGATTCTCTCAAGACTCCATTGCATCAGGATCACTAAGGCAAAGCATGTTCTGATGTACAGTTAACTCCTCATGCCTCATTACCAAACTGTTTCTATTATTTACATTCAGATTTAAGATATAGTTTGTGCTAAAATTATACGTTTCCTTTTATAATTCAACTTTCTCCTTACTTGATATGTGGGTGTGTGATTGCAATTTGCCACAAATGTCTGCTGTGAATTTCTTGGCTCCTCTTAATTAGGTCATCAACTGGGTGGATACCTGGGAGACTTGGTTTTGGCAGTGTATTAGTCTGTTGTCAAATTGCTATAAGGAAATACCTGAGACTAGGTAATTTACAAAGAAAACAGGTTTAATTGGCTCATAGTTCTACATGGCTGGGAAGGCATCAGGAAACTTAACAATCGTGGTGGAAGGTGAAGGGGTGCAGGTTCCTTCCTTACAAGCAGGAGAGAGAATGACCAAAGGAAGAACTTGCCAAACACTTATAAAACCATCAGATCTTGTGAGCTCTCACTTACTATCACAAGAACAGCATGGGAAAAACCACCCCCATGATTCAATTACCTCCAACTGGTCCCTCCCTTGACACATGGGGATAATGAGATTATGGGGATTACAATTCAAGGTGAGATTTGGGGTGGGGACACAGCCAAACCATATCAGGCATTGTTTCTACCACTTATGGCTCTGCTCCTTGTTCCAAATAAAAAGTGCCTCAGGTCTCACCATGCAATGTCCCAAGGATACCAGCAGGTCTCCAGCATTATGTCCCTGTACAGGATCTTCTGAGTGTCATCCAGGTCCTTCCACTCCTCCCAGGTGAAGTCAACAGCCACATCTTTACCAATCCTGGTAATGGCACATTTCCCCTCAACTCAAGTCATCAGCCTCCTGAATGCTTCCTCCCCATGGACTCATAATTGAGATCAACATATGTGTTGGATAAAGCCATAGCTCTTGAAAGACTGTACTGGAGACATCATTTCTTCTTGCTTTGGAAACAAATAGAGAACTCTAGAAGCATCACTTCACAGATGAAGAATCCAACCCCAGACCAGCAGAGAAGTGCCTAGAAATCAAGGGGTCCAGAAAGGATGGAAGGAAACATGTTTGCTCGTCTTCAGATGGATTATTTATCTCAACTAAATTGCCTGAGTTCAAGGGACCATTGCTAGCATCCACTTAACTTTATATGATATGGCTCTCTCAACAATCCAGGGGTCTTTTTTTGTTTGTATTTTATTAAGACAATAAAAAATAATTTCACACAAGAATTGAGAAGAAAACATAAAGCACAGCTATTTTACAAAGGTAAGACTCAAGAAAATTATGTTGTTGAAAAGTAAACAATCAGAGCTGGAACTTCCCATCTAAGCAAACTCTCCGTCTCTAAGTGAAGGCTTCTGCGTGGATCAAGGTCTTATCACATGTGGAGGAAGTGGACCCATCTCAGTAGCTTCACTGTAGAGCTTAACTGCCAAAGATCCACACCAGCAGCAGATGCATTCTGTTTTGTTGGTGTTTTGTTTTGTTTTGAGACTGAGTCTCGCTCTGTTGCCCAGGCTGGAGTGCAATGGTGTGATCTTGGCTCACTGCAACATCTGCCTTCCAGGTTCAAGAGATTCTCCTGCCTCAGCCTACCAAGTAGCTGGGATTACAGGTGCTTGCCACCATGGCCAACTAATTTTTGTATTTTTAGTAGAGGCGGGGTTTCACCATGTTGGCCAAGCTGGTCTCGAACTCCTGACCGCCTACCTCAGTCCCCCAAAAATGCTGGGATTACAAGCATGAACCACCGCACCCAGCCAGCAAATGCATTCTGGATGCTCCTGCTAAGCTATTACCATTGCAGTTCCACAAGGCCCTGCCTGATTGGAATGCCTCTAGATAAATTCATGAGACATTTAAGTTAAAATTCACAGAGATCTTGGTCTACTCTTCCTCATTACCTTTTTAAAAATTATTATTATGCATTAAGTTCTGGGACACATGTGCAGAACGTGCAGGTTTGTTACATAAGTATACACATGCCATGGTGGTTTGCTGGACCTATCAACCCATCATCTACATTAGGTATTTCTCCTAATGCTACCCTCCCCTAGCTCCCCACCCCCCGACAGGCCCTGGTGTGTGATATTCCCCTCCCTGTGTCCATGTGTTCTCATTGTTCAACTCCCATGTATGAGTGAGAACATGTGGTGTTTGGTTTTCTGTTCCTGTGTCGATTTGCTGAGAAGGATGGTTTCCAGCTTCATCCATGTCCCTGCAAAGGACATGAACTCATCCTTTTTTACAGCTGCATAGTATTCCATGGTGTATATGTACCACAGTTTTTTATCCAGTTTAACATTAATGGGCATTTGGGTTGGTTCCAGGTTTTTGCTATTGTGAATACTGCTGCAATAAACATATGTGTGCATGTGTCTTTATAGTAGAATGATTTATAATCTTTGGGTATATACCCAGTAATGGGATTGCTGGATCAAATGGTATTTCTGGATCTAGATCCTTGAGGAATTGCCATACTGTCTTCCACAATAGTTGAACTAATTTACACTCACATCAGCAGTGTAAAAGCATTCCTATTTCTCTACATCCCCTTTAGCATCTGTTGTTTCCTGACATTTTAATGATCGCCATTCTAACTGGCATGAAATGATATCTCATTGTGGTTTTGATTTGCATTTCTCTAATGACTAGTGATGATGAGCTTTTTTTCATATGTTTGTTGGCTGCATAAATGTCTTCTTTTGAGAAGTGTCTGTTCATATCCTTTGCCTACTTTTTGATGGGGTTGGTTTTTTTTCTTGTAAATTTAAGTTCTTGGTAGATTCAGGATATTAGCCCTTTCTCAGATGGTTAGATTGCAAAAATTGTCTTCAATTCTGTAGGTTGTTCACTCTGATGATAGTTTCTTTTGCTGTGCAGAAGCTCGTCAGTAAGAATTTAGCTCTGCTTCTTCTAAACATTGGGGTATTTACTTTGTTTTTTGGTTTCTTTTTGCTACTCACTTAACTCAAACAAAACAAAGCAAAACAAAAGAAGCAAAAAAAAAAAAATCAACTAAATCAACAAATGAAGACTCCAGATCCCACGGATACCTAGGAGAAGGCATGTCCCTTTTAGGGCAGAAATAAACAGTGAAATCTTTTTATCTTTCATTTACTCTAGTGATGTAAAAAATCCTTAAATTTCAGTGATTACTTCATCAAAGCCCTTTATTTTAAAGCTAGGGAAAACCGAGGCCCCCAAAGTTAAGGAAATTGTCCAAGGTCACTTGTTTAATCCAGAATCAAGTTTTGACAACTAACTTCCCAGCCAGTTGTTTATGACTTGCAATTATGTCCCTGCTTCCATGAACGCATACCCCACTCTAGGCATGAATGGGGGCTAATACTTTTGGCTAGTGTGACTTTGATGGTTTTATCATTTTTATAATGGCATCCCTAGAGGAATGGCAGCAGAAGTGCCTTGAAATTACATGTTTGAACAAAATAAATATAGCAGGTGCTCTTGAGAAAAGAAAGCAAAACAGCATTAAAGTTCAGTGAAAGCTTGCTATCTGGAGAAATATATTTTCAGGTAAGGGGAAAGCTGTCCAGAACTCACCCTGAGAACATGAGGAGTGTGAAATTTAAGTTTAATTTCCACTTTGGCAATTACGTTGGGTGTTCAATAAAGTCTGGTTAATTATCCTTAAAGGCATAGTGATTTTAGATTAGGTAGTATTTTTTTAATGCTCCACTAGCTGTGTTTATCATCAGTCATAAAATAAAACCAATAATGTATTGTTATTATAGCAATCCCTCATTATTATATGGGCAGGTATAGGGCAAAGGTCATGAAGAAGACCCACTCACTAAATATGCCCTTCCCTCCCGCATCTCCTCTTGTCAATATTTATGTTTGATTAGTTAATATATATGTTCTTCATTCTCAGTAGTGGTAACAGACAAGTTATTGATGTAAACAGACTTCTAGGCAACATATTTTGTGTTTATGTGTTAAATAGTTTTGTTGTTAATTATGATTAAATAAATATATCACTTTTCCTTCTAGAACAGTAGGAGAAAGTGTCTATGACCTGTGTGATATGTGTGGATTTCTATATTATAGCTCATAGGTAAAAATATTTATTATATTATTTTTGATATAAACAGTGGCTATAAATACCAAGGAAACAAAGACAACAATGACCTTAAATGATTAGCCTAAAATTATTTTTTAAAACTGAAATAAGGGAACAGGCTTTCTGATGCATATGTAAGTAGGAGTGTACTACTGTTTCCTTAGTGCTATAATCATTTAGCAAAGCCCAGGCTTGGAGCCTGTTAGAAAGTATTACACATTATACAATTAGAAATATTATAGTTATAAGGCCTTAAAACATTCATTAATATATTTAAAGAATTGGAATCACTCCCTGTGACATCAGTTTACCTATACAACAAACTGGCACATGTATCCCTGAAAATTAAAAAAAAAAAAAAAAGAACTGCGCATATAAAGTATGCTCTCTAAGCCCAATGTAATTAAATGAGAAACCAGAAAGAGAAAGAAATTTTGGAAATTCGCAAACATGTGGAAGTTAAACAATACACTTCTACGGAACTAATGGATCAAAGAAGAAATCATGAGCAAATTAGATAATATCTTGAGGTAAGTGAAAATGAAAATACAACATACCAAAACTTATAATGTAAGAAAAATAGTTATTAGATGGAAGTTAATAGATGTAACTCTCTCTATATATATGCATAATATATATATTTATACAAATCTTTAAATCAGTAGCTTATTTAACAATGAAAAAAAACCTAGAACAGGAGCAAACTAAACCCACAGTAAGCAGAATCAGAAAATAATAAAGATCAGAGCAAAAGTGGATAAGTAGACAGTGAAAAATAATAGAAAAAAATTAGTGCATCAAAAGCCAGCTGCCTAGAAAACAGAAAAAAATTGATAAGCCTTTAGTTAAATAACCAAAACAAAAAAGAAATAAGACTCAAATTACCAAAATCAGGAATGGAAGAGTGACATTACTATTAGCCTTACAGAAATAATGACTTTTTTTTTTTTTTTTTTTTTTTTTTTTTTTTTTTTTGAGACAGAGTCTCACTCTATTGCCTGGGCCGGAGTGCAGTGGCCTGATCTCTGCTCTCTGCAACCTCCGCCTCCTGGGTTCAAGTAATTCTCCTGCCTCAGCCTCCTGAGTAGCTGGGACTACAGGTGTGTGCCACCATGCCTGGCAAATTTTTGTATTTTTAGTAGAGATGGGGGTTTCACTATGTTGGCCAGGCTGGTCTCAAACTCCTGACCTCATGGTCCACCCGCCTTGGCCTCCCAAAGTGCTGAGATTACAGGCATAAGCCACTGCACCCGGCCAGAAATGATTTTGAGGGAAAACTATGAACAACTGTATGGTAACTAATTAGAATACTTAGATGAAATGGACAAATTTGTAGAAACACAAACTACTAAACCGACTTAAAAATAAATGGAGGGGAGTAGAGTCAAGATGGCTGAATAGGAACAACTCCAGTCTATAGCTCCCAGTGTGAGCGATGCAGAAGACGAATGATTTCTGCATTTGCAACTGAGGTACCAGGTTCATCTCACTGGGGATTGTCAGACAGTGGGTGCAGGACAGTGGGTGCAGCACACAGAGCTTGAGCGTGAGCCAAAGCAGGGTGAGGAATCGCCTCACCCAGGAAGTGCAAGGGGTCAGGGAATTCCCTTTCCTAGCCAAGGAAAGCGGTGACAGACAGCACCTGGAAAATCTTGTCACTCCCACCCCAAAACCCCATCTGTACCATCATCAAAGACCAAAGGTAGATAAAACCACAAAAGCAATGGCAACAAAAGACAAAATTGACAAATGGGATCTCATTAAACTAAAGAGCTTCTGCACAGCAAAAGAAACTACCATCAGAGTGAACAGGCAACCTACAGAATGGGAGAAAATTTTTGCAGTCTACTCATCTGACAAAGGGCTAATATCCAGAATCTACAAAGAACTCAAACAAATTTACAAGAAAAAAACAAACAACCCCATCAAAAAGTGGGTGAAGGATATGAACAGACACTTCTCAAAAGAAGACATTTATGCAGCCAAAAGACACATGAATAAATGCTCATCATCACTGGCCATCAAAGAAATGCAAATCAAAACCACAATGAGATACCATCTCACACCAGTTAGAATGGTGATCATTAAAAAGTCAGGAAACAACAGGTGCTGGAGAGGATGTGGAGAAATAGGAACACTTTTACACTGTTGGTGGGACTGTAAACTAGTTCAACCATTGTGGAAGTCAGTGTGTCGATTCCTCAGGGATCTAGAACTAGAAATACCATTTGACCCAACCATCCCATTACTGGGTATATACCCAAAGGGTTATAAGTCATGCTGCTATAAAGACATATGCACATGTATGTTTACTGCAGCACTATTCACAATAGTAAAGACTTGGAACCAAGCCAAATGTCCAACAATGATAGACTGGATTAAGAAAATGTGGCACATATACACCATGGAATACTATGCAGCCATAAAAAATGATGAGTTCATGTCCTTTGTAGGGACATGGATGAAGCTGGAATCCATCATTCTCAGCAAACTATCGCAAGGATAAGAAACCAAACACCGCATGTTCTCACTCATCGGTGGGAATCGAACAATGAGAACACATGGACACAGGAAGGGGAACATCACACGCTGGGGACTGTTGTGGGGTTGGGGGAGGGGGGAGGGATAGCATTAGGAGATATACCTAATGTTAAATGACGAGTTAATGGGTGCAGCGCACCAGCATGGCACATGTATACATATGTAACAAACCTGCACATTGTGCACATGTACCCTAAAACTTAAAGTATAATAAAAAAATGTTGATTGGAATCTCAATTCTAAACTTGCCATGGAGCCAGCATGGGCAAATAATTTAACTTTTCTGAGTTTCATTTTCTTTAAATGTAAAATGAGAATGTTATTTTTACTTCAGTGCTTTTGAGAAAATAAAAAAGTAGTGTATACAAAAAATAAAAATAAAAAAATGGAAAATCTAAATTGTCCGATAACAACTAAAGAAATTGAATTAATCATTTTAAAACTTCCCGTGAAGAAAAGCTCCAGGCAATACAGCTGGTGAATTCTATCAGATATTGAAAGAAATAATTAATACCAATTCTTATGTATTAATACAATCCCAATGAATATAAAACTCTTTTAAAGAAACAAAAGAGAGGAGGACATTTCTATCTCATTTTATGATGCCAGTATTACCCTGATACCAAAACCACAAAAAGGCATTCTAAGAAAAAAAAAACAACTACGGACCAATATCCCTTATCAGTAAAGATATAAAAATTATCAGCAAAATACTAGCAAACCAAATCCAGGAATATATAAAAAGATTTGTATATGCACATTATATGACATGTTCAGAATCAGAAAATCTATACAGAAAGAAAGAAAAATAGTGATTGTTTAGGGCTTATGGTGGGGTGAGAAATCACTGTACATTGGTACCACAATTCTTTCTGGGTCATGTAAATGTTCTCAACTTAGATAGCAGTGTTGCATAACCCTATGAAATACGAAACCCATTGAGTTACACATTTTAAATGAGTAAATTTTATGATATGTGAATTATATCTCACTAAATAAGTTAAAAATAGTATAGCTACAAACAGCAAAGACCTGTAGTTGAGTAAGGTTATCTGTCAATGAGCAGTGCTAAAAGGGGATCCATGAGATTTCCTGCATCTTCTATCTTTAACACTTTATTCTTTTCTGACTTGTCTGTGGTATTTGGAGAATATTTTCCTAGTGTTTCCCCAATATAATTATAAAATGACCACTTGATTAAAGTTTTTTTTTTTTTTTTTTAACAGTGAGTCATTTGTTACCAACAGTTGTAAGGTAGGTGTCATGCTGATGTGCAACTTACCATAGTTAAAATATGATTTCAGAAAAGATTGAATAATATCCCTATAATCTTCTCACTCTCACTCACTTGTACTGTATTATCTTTTCAAATATGAGAGCTATAGAATATGTTGAGTTACAGGTAGTAAACTTAGAGAATTTTTTTTTTTTGTATTCTAACACTTCTCCCTCTGCTTTTAGAGTAAAACTCTGACATCTTCGAAGTGCTGAGAAGAGATATCTGCTCATCTTTCTAACTCACTGCCTTTATCTTATGGCACAAAGGGAGATTTATCTGAAAGATAACAGTCGGAAGGAAACTTGTGCGATTCAACAACTTCTTAGCTCTCTGTTTTGGACTTGTCTACTTTGACAGTGTATGAATTTTTTTTCTGATCGTTATTTTCAATGTGGTAAACACAGCTATGTTAAAATACCTATGCCTTCTACATCCATATCTGAATATTCATTCCTCTCTACCCCTGCATTGGGGCTCAATGTAATGAAGTAAATATTTCTCATTTACTTTTTCAGGTATACATCTAATTTTCAGACACCTTTATGGGTGAGCTGGTTAAAAGACAAGGCTTCAGGTGGGAGTGAAGTTGAGAAAACCTTTTTTTTTAAATCCAGTATTTATTCTCTACTTAGTTTTTATCAGTAATAAAGCTTACATGTGTTTCCTGCTTCAGTTTTCAGATAGTTCCAGAATGGGAGGTATAAAGTGGGATGTTATTCATTATCCTTTTAAATGGGAGCAACACGTCAGAAATAGCCCAAAGCCTTGGGCATACTATGCATGAGAAGGTCATCTGTCATGTATGTCACAACAATGAAAACAGCACAACTGGCTTCAACCAGTTGTCCACACTTGAAAAGAGTAAGTGAGCGCCAAAATCACACCAGGTGAAAAATCACACCCCAAAATATAACTTGCCTGGGCCATAAGGGAAATATAATGCTCCTGAAGCCCATATTTAACAACAAAGTCATGCAGAGTGCCATTTAAACAGCATGGCTACTGCCTTTGTACAAAACGAGGTGCTCACTAGTTCCAGATGGAAGCAGGCTGACATGCTGCTTTTGTGTCCATCCTCACTCCTGTGTCCCTGCTCTCCAAGGATAGGCATCCATCTGTCCAGAATTATTTAACTAGAGTTCTGCCCAGAGGCAGGAAGCTAGGCAACACAGCCAGACTTATGTAATATTCCCAAAGTGTACTTCTACTCTGTTGATTTCAGTGATAGCTTTGAGATACCACAAGAGAAGAAGGGAAGGTGAAATGGGGGGCAGCTAGTTTCCTATTTCCCGTGTGCTTAATATTCCATGCTTGAATTGTTCATCTGTCCTATTCTCTTTTACCTGAGTCCTAATTTCATTTCACATTCCCAATGACAGAGAGAAAAAGGTCTTTCTATCACCTTTCCCTGGGCACATTCTCTTTTTGCAGACATTGTTGCCTTCAGAATTCATCAAAACCATGTATGTGTCTCTGCTTTAAATGTCCCTTTGCAACTCTTTATATTGGTGACATTGGTACCCTTACCTCAGACCTATAATTGAAATAGATAGCACAGAACTGTATTGTGGGCATATTTTTTTCTCTCTCTCTGTGTTGGCCAACTCATTTTATCTTCAAATTTTAAACTGCATGGAGATGAATATTAATGGCCATATTAGTATGTGAAAGTGGCATTGAGATTGATACACGGTAAATGTTCCAATGAGGAAGTGTGGAATTGCCTGTCTCTTTGATTAATTCCATGTTCTCAATACCTAACTAGAAACTCTTGAGACCTACATCTTTTGCCTTTATTCTACTGGCATATGACTTCCTCTCATTGAGAGGCTACTTGGGAGAAAAATGCCTACAAAATGGCAGAAGAAACCAATATATGTCACCAATATTAATCAACCTCTTTAGCGTATCAGTCCTCTTTAGCTCCTCTTTAGCATATCAGTCATCAACTAAGGATTTTGAGAAATTTGAGAAAAAGCAAGAAGCAAAATCAACCTGAAGAATGTTTAATTCAAATTAAATTTATCTATATGTATATTGTAGCAATTTATTAAATGCCACAATGCTATCTAAAAACATATGAGATACTAAGAATCCAAATTATGACTGTAATAAACATTTGAGTGGAGTCTTGAATCTGATTACCTAATTGGACATCTTAAACATAAAAGTCAAGGAAATCTCCCAGAATACAGAGCAAGAAAAAAAAGTCAAGGAAATCTCCCAGAATACAGAGCAAGAAAAAAAAGTGACAGAAAATATGGAAGAACTCAATTTAGAAGAATAGATTGAGAAGCTTCAATGATTTCTAAATGAAGTTTTACAACAAAAAATGGAGAAAAGAGAGGGAGAGAAATAATAATAGAAAAAAATGTTCACAAGTTAAAGAAAATTCCGTCTTTAGATTGAAAAAATTCTCTCCAGTGTCCAATAGCATCAGCAAATTCAAATCTGTACCCAGGCTTATGTTAAAGAAAGCTTGGTATTGTAAAGATAATTTCAAGTTTTTAGAGACTGTATGGAAAGCTAGGAAGAGGACAGTTTGTGTGACCTTGTACAAAAAGAAGGAAGAAAAGGAAAGGAAAGGAAGAAAAAGAAGGAAGGAAGGAAGAGAGAGAAAGAGAAAGAGCATGGAGATAAGGGCGGGAGGGGAAAAGGAAAGAAAGGAAGGGGAAAAAAAAGAAAACTTGAATGGCTTAAAATTCTTTAAAAATTATGTGTGCTATACAGTAGTTCACTGTCCTTCGAAATGCAAAGTAATTTAGAACCTGAACTCCTAAATCTAGTTAAAATGAGGAGATTTTAAAAGGTCAACAGCTCAGAATTTTAGCTTTCCTGTGTATTTCTTAAAAAAGAAAAAAAAAAAAGAAAAAAAAAACAGTTACTTGAGGATATACCTCAGCAATTTTTTTTAAAAAAAAGAATCTCAAAGAACACAATCAAACAAATCACATGTTGATTGATATGAAGTAGAGAACAATTATAAAAAAATTTAAAAATTACAGAAAGGCAGAAAGATATTTTTAAGAAGAAAGTATACCCATCAAAGAGTAATAAATTCATACCCATTGTATAAATATAAAATCAAGAGCAAAAAAGGTTTTAATTGTATGATGAAGGTGTATGTATCTATTAAAAAGAAAATCTCTCACACTCAACTAAGTATTGCTTACTACTAAATTTAGAGTCTCCTTTAAGGCAGGGCACTTGTATCATTTATCTTTGCATCCCAAATACCTGAACATTTAGTACACACAAATGGCTTTTGTGCATTTCGCAGTTCCATTTTTCCAATCAAACTTTCCTTCCCATGTTTATTCTCCTAGGTGCACCATCACCTCTGGCCCAGAAAACTGAGAATGAGAGTTAAATTCAGTCCTTTAATAGTTTAATAGCTGCCAGAGAATCACCAAATACTGTTATCTCCACCTGTTAAATAAATCTGCAATTTGTTGAGTCTTTGATCTCCACTTTCCTAGCTTGGACACTAAATACTGTTATAAGAGCATCTTAACTAGTCTCCCTTCCTGATGGCTCCCCTCCTTCAATTAAGTTGACTATTTCTAAGAAAACATTCTATCTTGTATAGTATGAAATTTTTTATGTCATATTATTGCAGAAGTCTCTGTTTTTCTTGCAGTAGCCATTCTCCTTTTCTTCTACAGCAATACAACTCAAATTCTCACCTGGTTATGTGACTGAGTAGAACAAACATTACCTTTCTAATTCCTTGCCCAGATAGATGTAGTTACATTCTGCCTAAAGTAATGTAGATAAAAGTGGTTTGTGCAACTTCCAGGAAATATATTTAAATGGCAGAGAATGTCTTTCTTTACTCGTTTCTGAAAGGCTAGGAGGTATTATCTTTTCACTGGAATGGACAAGATAAAAAGTTGTAAATCATACGGAGAAGATGTTGAATTTGGGTCTCTGATGACAATAGAATCCTTGTTACCAGCCATGGACTGCCTGTGTGTGTGTCTGTGTGCGTGCATGCACACACATGTGTATGTAGAAATGAACTACTATCATATATACGTATAATCATAGTAAGTCTGTCATGCAATTCCATTATGCCTATCTATATAAACCCTTGTAATCCTGTAATTCTGTGAGGCAAATATTTAAGACAATCTAACTGACCTACTGAAAAATATCCAGACTCCTTCAATGACCATCAAGTAATTCATAATTTCTCTTAAATCTGTCTTTCAAACATCATAAAATACTAATTCTTGTATTCTTGCCACTGCAACCATTCACCATTTCTTCTTTTTCTTCATCATCCGTGAAGTTTCTCTGTTCTTTCTATAACCTTATTCTCTGTTCAGTTTCTCCTAAGTCTTTGGTTTTCCCATCATTCTCAGGTTAGTATTTGATGGGGAACTTGAGCAAATATAAAATAGCTTTTCTCACCTAAACTTGTTTTCTTTTGTAGGCAAGGATTCCAACAGTCTACTGAAAGAATAAGAGAATCTAGAATTTCAAATCACTTTGGAAATCCAAAAATCTCATAGGATGTCAACCCCTCTTAAATGTTACTGTATTTTAATATATTCACCTTCACTTGGCTTCAAAGAGTAATAAACTCAGAGAGAATGTTTTCCTAGGTTTTTTATTTGTATATCCTACTACAATATGTCTTGCTAAGAGTGGATATAGTTAATCAGTTAAGTTCTTTGGAAATTTAAAAGGAGGAAGATAAAAAAAGCCTAGATAAGCAGATACAGAGATAAAAATGGACACACATACATGCATATACAGAGATAAAATGCACACACATACATGCATACACATGAGGGTATTTAACATATAAATGTATTATGCTCTTCATGTTGATTGTCTCTAGACCTGGGAAAACCAGCTACTGAGTACTTTCTAATGACCTTCCCTCTTTCATATGCATATACACAATCATTGACTTCTATTTTATAAGTGTTCTCTTATTCAATGTTTCAATACTAACTTCCTGTTACTATTGAGTCCAAATTCAAAATTTGATGAATACACTCCAATTACATCCAATTTGGAAGCAGTATGCAATTTATTTGAAAGATCTACCACTTTCATTGGCACTCATTTGCAGCATCATTGTACTCCTTCCCATTTGCCAGAGCAGTGATCGTCAGCACTCAGGAATCTGTCAGCCAGCTTAAGGGTGCCCATCTCAGTCAGAGGGGAAAAATGACAAAAGGAAGCATTATAACTTATTAAATGATATTACAGACACTGCCGTGCTCTAATCTGTAATTGAAAATAATTTCCAAATCACACAAAGAATGGCCTCCTGTGAATTTTCACACCTTCAAATTCAGATCCAGTTTTAAGACATTTAATGATTACATTATAAAGCCAATTCATCCAGCCAGAAAAGCTGCCTCTCTCCATTCTTAGAACCGGAGCAGATACATTAGAGACAAAGCAGAGCCCTCACGAAAGAAGAACAAGGGTGATGACTCACAAAGCTCTATTTGGGAGTCTGAATTTGGGGAGAATCTTGCTGCTGTAGACTGATGTCCACCACACAAAGCCATCACAATGAGGGGTCCTTGTTGTTGGTGCCACAGAGCAAGAGCAGCCACCTGTGTGCGTGCTGGCTACCTTTTCGCCCCTCAAGTTTTGCTAGGTGAACTTTGAAACACATCCATGATGCAGCACGATGTTTGCATTATGCCTGCAAAAGCTATTGAGGATTGGATATAGACAAAAGCCTTTCACTATCTTTGGCTGACAATCAAGTTCCTTTTAGCAACAATGCAATTTTTCAGGGTGTGGTAAAAGCTAAGAACAGAAAGCAGCAAGACAATTGCAGCAGTCATATTGAGAGTTAGACTATCCGGGGTAGTTTACTCTTTCCACAAAAACTTCAATCCTACTTTCCTTCTCAAGGTGATTAGGGGTCTCACTGGTACCAACTCCAGCCACTTAAATTGAGTTTTCCTTTATATTATATTATTTGAGCAAATACTATACATCAGGCACTGTGCTACATGTTTGCAATACATGGTTTCTGTACTACAGAACCTAACATTTGAAAGGAACGGAGGGATTTTAATTTCAAGCACAAGCAAATAAATGTTTGTGCTTGAAATTAAAATCCACCCAAGATACAGACAATGAAAAAAATAGCTAAAAAACAAACATGGCATGACTGCAGATAATAAAATAGAAAAGGAGAAAAGAAGAGGACTTTGGTGAAATCTCTTAAGGAGTGTACATACAAAATATATCTGGATTGACTGAGACAGCATTCTGGATAATTATGGAGGAAATTTCTTATATTACTATACCTCAAGAATCAACCAAAGCCTAACAAAAGTAAACATTTTTCAGTTCACAGTAATGCCACATTTGAAATAAATTGGCAGTAAGCTTTGGGAAATGACATTTAGTTCACCACAATTTCATAATTTTTGAAGGATGTGATAAAATAAAATATCCAGACTTTTCCAGCTATAGCTATGCACCAGACAAGATGCTCCACGAAGACAGGGGCTTTGCCTTTTTCACCATTGTATCTTGAGGACCTAAAACACCATGAGGCATATATGAGAGACTTGATTGTGAGTGACTAAATGACTGACTGAATAAATAAATGAATGTGGAAAGCCTTCATATAAAAACAATCATAATGAGATACTGAAGCAACCAAATGCATTTCCTTAATATATGAAAAGGATGGTAAAATAACTGTATTTCTCCTTCCACTGTCTTGCAGCAAACTCAAATCCTAAATCTCAGCCAAATATACCTATGGTAGGTACAGCTTTCCAAAATAGTACTTCTGCAATTAAATGCCCAAGCCTAAAGTTTAAACAGATGGGTATAGGTTTAAATAAATAATGTCAACAACAAAACAGACAAAAAATCTTTATTGATGGGGAGTTAACTGAGATTTCTTCAGGGTTAAACAGCTTATTCAAGAGTACATTATTATTAGTGGCAAGGGAAAAATGAGAACTCAGAAGCACTGAATCCTTGGATTTTGGTGGAACCTTACAGAAAGTGTATGGGCTTTAAACTAAGCTTCATCTGGGATTGACTGACTTTTCCATAAACTGGTAGGATGTAGTGAAGCATAGCTTTTTGCTGGATTGCTTAACTTTGACTTGCAGCTCTTCTATTTACTAGCTGTGTGGCCATAGGCAAGAGTTGTAACTTTCTAGTGTCTTATGTTTTCATCTATAAAGTGGGTATAATTTTAAAAACTTCATTGAAGTTTCTGTGAAGATGAAATAAGTTAATGCAACTAAAGTGTTCTGTATAGTGTCTGACACATACTCAGTGCTCAGCAAATAAATAAAGGTAATATATTTTACTTTTCAAATTGTTTGATAACTCAATGAAATAACCAACTTAAACCACATATCTCAGTGCCTAGAACATATAATACTTTCTCTAATTTGTAAACTATATACAAATTATATATATATTATATAATAATCTTCTTTTATTATATCTTATACATATAATCATTATATTATAATAATCTTCTTTAAAATATTTGCATGTAGTCTTACACGGACCTTGTATTTGGTGAAGATTATTACTTTAAAGTAAATAATGGATGGGAAATCATCAATATGACAGGGATCTATGAAATAAAGAGTAAAGAAAAGTTAAATATGGGTTTATAATAAGCATAGTTATAAATTATAAAAAGTAAAGGAAGGAAGAGAAGAAAGGACAGAGGGAGAGAAGAAGGGAGGAATGATGGAAAGGAGGGGAACAGGAAGACTAGGTGGTCCATTTGTTAGAGTGGATACTTTTATTCTACATGTCTATAATATCTCTAAATTTCTTTGAACAGGAAATCTGTTCAATATAGTGTATTTTCAGTATAGTGTTTGTAAATGGCCCCAAATGAAGTCATCTTAACACTGAAGTTTATTGATGATATAAGCCTATGAATTCCCCAATTGTTAAATATTGATGTTATAAATAGAGGATAAAACTAAACATTCTTTCTATTCATAACATAAGAGTTTATTTAAAACTTTGTATAGAAACAACTACATCAATTATCCATGGCAAAGGAGGGAACATATTATTAGTCTTTATTATGTAGGAACAATTGGAAGCAGAGATTTGCTTTTTATCTTCAGCAACACCAAATAGTTCAGATGATTTGATGTTACTTAAAGGGGTAGATTTTCATTCTTCATTCTTTAATTTATAGAGAGTATGTACAGTGTTAAAAATAACATGAACCTCGAACAAAGATTAATAAATCAAATTAAACAAAACTTCATTGAGTCTTAACTTAGAGGCCAGGCATAATGCTTTGTAAACCTATTGAGATAAGAAGACAGATAATAGGATTTCTGTTCTCAAAGACCTTATGAAGGGTGGTGAGAAGGGATAAAAATACACACACAAATAAATATATATTATTCATTAATCAAAATTATTTTAGTTAGGAGGCTTTATTTTACTTAAAATAGATACTTAAAAAAGATTGGAAGCAGCAAGGAGAGCTACTGACTCACACCAATATAAATCCCAGATGTAGAGTTGCCTCCAGCTAGCATCAATTCAATGGAACCAAAGAGCAGATTCATCTCTTTTTTATCCCATCATTTTCATCATCTAAACCTCCTTAGGTTTTATCCTAAAGAACCTAAATGGATGGTCCTACTCAAAAAATGGATGAAGAATCTACTCAAAAAATGGATGAAGAAAATGATGTGAGAATTCTGGAGGTCTCACATCATACTTATCCCAGATCATCCGTAATATGAAGTGTCTCATACGGTAGTCACCAACAAGTCCTACGATTCATTCTCTGCTGGCTTCAATTAGCTCTGTGCCTGTCACTGAACAAGTAACTATGGTCAAGGGGATGGGAGATGCTGACCAATCCCTGGAGCCAAGAGTGTGATAAATTCTCGCAAGTTGCTTGATTTACAATGAGGAAGAAAAACACTTTTGATGAGGCATAGAAGTATTAGAAGTATAGAAGTATTAGAGGCATAGAAGTACAGAAGCATAGAAGTATAGAAGTATAGAGGCATAGAAGTATTATTGGGAAGATATAGGTGTGCGTATGTGTTACTGGTGTGTGTGTGTGTGTGTGTGTGTGTGTGTGTGTGTGTGGTTAAAAGAACAGGAATGGCAGCAGGATGTTGTGACAGCACATGGATCTTAGGAAAACAATTGGCAAATGCTTACTATAGATACTGAGTTTAATTTAAATTTGCAATAAAAAGAGAAAGTGGTCTTCTCAAAATTGGTAGATAAGACAGAAATATCGGAAATTTATCTTTGAGTAATATTTTCAAGGATGAATAGGATCTCACACTATCATTATCAACAAAAGGCTGGAAATAACTCAATGTAAAAAAGAAGTTTGGAGAATTTTGGCAATTCTTTTCAAGAATAGTCTTTCAAAATATTCTAACATATGCATTATGTAATCTTAGAGCTACAAAATGCTCAATGAACAAAGAGTTACTTGTTCAAATGCATTAGAGCCACCACATTATATAGCTTCTTTTGGGGAATCATATTTAAAATTAACCTATTAAAGGCTTTAAGAAGACTTATGGTAAAGTAATAGGTCTAATCCATCATTTCTAAACTTACTTGGCTGTATAATCCATTTGAGGAATATCTATAGCAGTCTATAGAAAATTGTTCTAGGCACTCCACCGAATTCTATTATCCCTGTTGTAAAATATCAACAAGAGAAATTACTCTGAGAATATGGAGGGAATTATCCCTAACTCATTCTGCATGCCCAGAATCATCCTGATACCAAATCCAAGCAAGCACACAACAACAACAAAGTAAAACTACAGACCGACACCCCTGATAAACATAGACACAAAAATCCTCAAATAAATACTAGTAAACTGAATGAAGTAGCCCTCAAAAAGATAGTACACCATGATCAAGTGGGTTTTATTGCACGGATGCAATGGTATTTCATACACAAATCAATAAATGATTCAACGCATAAACAGAACTATAAACAAAACCATACAATCATTTCAATAGATGAGGAAAAAAATTGATAAAATTCAGCATCAATTGCTGAGAAAAACCCTTAATAAACTAGGCATCAAAGGAACACATATCAAAATAATAAAAGCCATATAAGACTAACCCAGCCAACATCATACTGCATGAGGAAAAATTGAAAGCTTTCCCCCAAGACCTGGAACAAGGCAAGGATGGCCACTTTCACACACTCCTATTCAACATAATACTGGAAGTCCTAGCAAGAGGAATCAGGAAAGAGAAAGATATAAAAGGCATTCAAATTGGAAAAGAGGAAGTTGAATTATCCTTTTTTGCTGGTGATATGATCTTATACCTGCAAAACTCTAAGGACTCCGACAAAAGACTCCTAGATTTCATAAATAAATTCTGTAAGGTTTCAGGATACAAAATTAACATACAAAATTGAGTAGCATATCTATACAGCAATAACTATCAAGCTGAGAACCAAATCAATCAGTCAATCCCTTTAATAATAGCTACCAGTAAACAAATAAATAAAACATAGGATGAAAGATCTCCACAGAGAAAAACTACAAAACACTGACGCAAATAATTTTAGACGACACAAGCAAATGGAAAAACAGTTCATGCACATGGATTGGAAGAATCAATATTGTTAAAATTACCATCCTCTCCAAAGCAATCTATGGATTCAATGCAATTTCTATCAAAATACCTACATCATTTTTCACAGAATTAGAAAAAAACAGTTCTAAAATTAATATGGAACCAAAAAAGCACCTGAACAGCCAAAGAAATGCTAAGCAGAAAGAACACAGCTGGAGGCATCACATACTATTTCAACCTGTACTACTAGAATATAGTAACTAAAACAGCATGGTATGATATAAAATAGACTCATAAATCAATGGAACAGAATAGAGAATCCAGAAATCAAGCCTCATACCTATAGACAACCAATCTTCAACAAAGCCAACAAAAACATACTCTCAAGAAAGAAAACCCCGTTCAATAAATGGTGCTGGGAAATTTGGATAGCCATATCCAGAAAAATGAAACCGGTCACATGTCTCTCAGGATATACAAAAATTATCTCAAGACGGATCAATGACTTAGATGTAAGACCTGAAACTGTTAAAATTATAGAAGAAAATCTAGAGAAAATTCTTCTGGACATAGGGCTACATTAAGAATTCATGACTTAGACCCTAAAAGCAAATGCAACAAAACCAAAAACATTTAATTAAACTAAAAAACCTTCTGCAGTGTAAAAGACATAATCAACAGAGTGAACAGGAGCCTACAGACTGGGAGAAACTATTTGCAAACTATGCCTTTAACAAAGGACTAATATCCAGATTCTACAAGGAACACAAACAACTAAACAAGAAAAAAAAATAACCCCATCAAAAAGTGGGCAAAGTACTGGAGCAGACATTTTTAAAGGAAAATTTACAAATGATGAACAAGCTTATGAATAAATGCTCAACGTTATTAATCACCAGAGAAGTGCAAATTAAAACCAGAGTAAGACACCATCAGAATGTCTATTACTAAAAAATAACAGATGTTGGTGAGGATGCAAACAAAAGGGAATGTTTATATTGGTGGGAATATAGATTAGTACAACCTCTATGGACAACAGTGTGGAGATTTCTCAAAGAATTAAAAAATGGAACTACCATTTGATCCAGCAATTCCGCTATTGGGTATCTACCCAAAGGAAAATTGTATCAAAAAGATACTTGCACTTACATGTTTATTTCAGCACTATTCACAAGAGCAAAAATATAGAATCAACCTAAGTGTCCATCAATGGATGACTGAATAAAGAAAATATCTACATATACACCATATAATATTAGCCATAAAAAAGAATGAAATCATGTCTTTTGCTGAAATGTGGATGGAATTGGAGGCTATTATCCTAAGTGAAACAACTCAAAAACAGAAAGTCAAATACCACATGTTCTCACTTATAAGCGGAAGCTAAATAATGTGTACACATGGACAGAGAGAGGGAAATAAAAGACATTCAAAAGTTACAAATGTGGGAGAATGGGGGGAGAGTGAGGGATGATAAATTACCTAATGGATACAATGTACACTATTCAGGTGATGGATACAATACAAGACTAGACTTGACCATGATGCAATATATCAATGTAACAATACTTCCCTCGTAACCCCTAAATCTATAAAAATAAAAAATAAATAAGTTTTTCTAAAAAGAAAAATTACTCTGAAAATACTATGCTTGGAAAATAAAGGCAGGCAGTTAATAATTATTGAATACCTACCATTTTTCAGACAGAATATAAATAATATTATGTATACTTTTTCCTTTAATTCTTATAGGAATTTTTTTGTATTTATATTATTACCATAATTTTACATATTACAAAGCCTTAGAGATATGAATTAACTTGACGAAGATAATAATTGTGTAATATGATTAGAATTTGAATCCAGCTCTTAATGACAAGATATCTTTTGTTTTTATATTATAGAGTACTGATTTATTATTGAAATAAAATATAAGGGCAAAGAAAGGATATTTTACTGTTACATTCATCAAGAAAATCTAAGTAATTTTTATTATGTATCATACTTCTTAATTCCTCCTCTTCTCCTGTAAATTGGTTTTGTTCATTTCAGTTTAAACCACAATGTTTTCAAGTGATAGGTCTTGATCGCTCATGTTTAATTTATGAAATGAATATATGATAATTTACATTTTCATAAATTGTACTTTTGTTTGATGAAGCATGCATGTTTGAGTTGATTCATATGAGTTTCAATTTTCTTAAAAGGAAAAGACGCAGCCTCAGTGTCATTACTGAAAAGAAACAGTTGCATATTTTTTCAGAAACGGATTGCCAAATTCCTAGGACCTCTCAACCTTTACTTTGTTATGAATTATGGACTCTTAGACTGCCTCAGTGAAGGTGAGTTGAGGTAGAGAGTAGAAGTGAGATACTTGTATAAGATGTGCAAAAACTCAGAGGAAGTTGAAAATCCCACTTCTTTTCTCTGTTTAAAAATTTCTTCCTTCTACTCATTCTTTAGCATTTTGTTGTGCTCTGTGTGAGACTAATTTCTTTTTTTAAAAAAATCATCATTATTACTTTGAACTAGAGAATTGCCGTATCAATTACTAAGGGTGTATTGAAAATTGTGCCATATGCATGATTATTCCATTAGTCCTAGTACAATGTAATTAACAAATGGAAAGTCATAGCATAACTATGCAAATATATGTGACAGGAGGGAAAGAAGAGGGAAGAAAAAATTTTTAGAGCGCTGGAAACCTAGGCAAAGTAGTCTAGACACCAACTCTATTGTATCCTCTTTTTGAGGATATGGTTTCAGTAGGTCTAAGCTTGTTTCAAAAATAGAACTGGATGTTTGCAAAACTGTTCTTGAGCAGAAATGAGTAGATTGTTAGGGTAAAATATGCAAAAATGGACACTGACACAGCAAGACATTTGCTATTTTCAAAATTCTAACAGAACCCTAACTGCCTAACTGTGGCAAGAATACCATCTCTTGGAGCAATATGCTCTATGGAAAACAGAGGCAAGAGAAAAGCTAGGCCAAGATAGACTATATTGCAATACAGATAGATCTCCCTCCTAGTATATCACACTTGAAATCACTGCCATTTTTTATTTGTTTGTTTGTTTGTTTTGTTTTATTGACTGATGGAGCTGTTGGGAAAGTAGAAATTGCCTGAAGACCAGAAATGACAAGGCTGTGCAAATTTGCTGCAGGCCAGCATTCCAGTGGATATTTGCACGAGGAATATCTGCAATTCCTGGTAGCCTGGAGCTTGGGTTTAATAGGCAATGCAGTTGGGAAGCTATGTGACTTTGCTCCTCCATTTTTGTAGGCTTCTTTTCTGCTAAATTCTTCATATTTATATATAAATGATTAACTGAATTAGAGTTCTCCAGAGAAACAGAACCAGTAGGATATGTATATGGATTATATGTATAAACATAAATATACATATATTGAAAGAGAATTTCCTTTTAAAAATTGTCTAAATCTGTAATTTTCAAGACAGTTCAACACTGCAAATTATGGCAGAATTGATGTTGTAGTCTGGAGTCCAAAGGCAGTCTGGAGACAGAATTTCTTCCTCTTCTGTTAGGCAGATCTTAGTATTTTATCTAAAAGACATCACCTGTTTGGATAAGGCCATCCAACATATGGAGAGTAATCTACTTTTCTTGAATTCTATTAATTTCACTGTTAATCTCATCTAGAAAATACTTTCACAGTAAAATCTAGAATGGTTTTTGATCAAACAACTGGGCTTATAGCCTAGCTAGGTTGACTTAAAATTAACCATCACAGGAAACAATAGCTTAAAGGCGTGTGTGTGAGTGTGTGAGTTTAACAAAGAGCTTTTCCATTCATGCTGGCATTTTGGCTAGTGTATGTGTACATGTGTATTTGTATATATGTTTATATAAATGCACCTGTCTAATCTTTTGAAATAGATTGTTACTCAATCCCAAACTTACAAGTCAAACTAAGTATTACAAAAAAGGAAGCTGAAAAAAATACCAGGGAAACATTTTCTAGTACACTTTCAGTTGTTTGTTAGAGGCATCATTTTGATAAAGACCCATATTTTATTAGGCTGTATTCTAATAACTTAAGATTAGACTAAAAAAAGTAATATTATTTTGCATTTAAAAAGTGTGTTCTGTCACACATTATTCTTATCTGTAAAGTATCTGTAAAATCTGTAAAAATCTGCAAAATAAAAATAATACAATGTTAGGCACTCAGCCCCACAAAGCAGTGACATGTAGTAAAATAAAGGCACTTATGTGTACTGGGGAAAAAGGGAGGCCATAGGGCAAGATGGCTGAATAGGAACAGCTCTGGTCTGCAGCTTCCAGTGAGATCAACGCAGAAGGTGGGTGATTTCTGCATTTCCAACTGAGGTACCCGGGTCATCTCACTAGGACTGGTTAGACAGTGGGTGCAGCCCACGGAGGGCGAGCTGAAGCAGGGTGGGGTGTCACCTCACCTGGGAAGCAAAAGGGGTTGGTGAACTCCCTCCCCTAGCCAAGGGAAGCCATGAGGGACCATGCCGTGAGGAATGGTGATATCCGGCCCATATACTATGCTTTTCCCGTGGTCTTCGCAACCCACAGACCAGGAGATTCCCTCAGGTGACTATACCACCAGGGCCCTGGGTTTCAAGCACCAAACTGGGCAGCCATTTGAGCAGACACCAAGCTAGCTGCAGGAATTTTTTGTCATGCCCCAGTAGCATCTGGAATACCAGCGAGACAGAACTGTTCACTCCCCTGGAAAGGGGGCTGAAGCCAGGGAGCCAAGTGGTCTAGCTCAGTGGATCCCACCCCCACGGAGCCCAGCAAACTATGATCCACTGGCTTGAAATTCTTGCTGCCAGGACAGCAGTCTGAAGTCTACCAGAAACACTTGAGTTTGATGAGGGCAGGGGTGTTCACCATCACTGAGGCTTGAGTAGGCAGTTTTCACCTCACAAGGTAAACAAAGCCTCTGAGAAGTTTGAACTGGGTGGAGCCCACCAGAGCTCGGCAAAGCTGCTGTAGCCAGACTGCCTCTCTAGATTCCTCCTCTCTGGGAAGGGCATCCCTGAAAGAAAGGCAGCAGCCCCAGTCAGGGGCTTATAGATAAAACTCAAATCTCCCTGGGACAGAGTACCTGGGAGAAAGGGCAGCTGTGGGAGCAGTTTCAGCAGACTTAAATGTTATTGCCTGTTGGCTCTGAAGAGAAGAGTGGATCTCCCAGCACAGTGCTCGAGCTCTGCTAAGGGACAGACTGCCTCCTCAAGTGGGTCCCTGACCCCCATGCCTCCTGACTAGGAGATACCTCCCAGCAGGGGTCGACAGACACCTCATATAGGAGAGCACTGGTTGGCATCTGGTGGGTGCCCCTCTGGCATGAAGCTTTCAATGGAAAAAACAGGCAGCAATGTTTGCTGTTCTGCAGCTTCTGCTGGTGATACCCAGGCAAACAGGGTCTGGAGTAGACCTCTAGCACACTCCAGCAGACCTGCAGAAGAGGGGCCTGACTGTTAGAAGGAAAGCTAACAAACAGAAAGGAATACCATCAACATCAACAAAAAGGACATCCACACAAAAACCCCATCTGAAGGTCATCAACATCAAAGACCAAAGGTAGAAAAATCCATGAAGATGAGAAAAAACCAGCTCAAAAAGGCTGAGAATTCCAAAAACCGGAATGTCTCTTCTCCTCCAAAGGATCACAACTCCTTGCCAGCAAGGGAACAAAACTGGACGGAGAATGAGATTGACGAATTGACAGAAGTAGGCTTCAGAAGGTGGGTAATAACAAACTTCTCTGAGTTAAAGGAGCATGTTCTAACCCAATGCAAGGAAGCTAAGAACCTTGATATAAGGTTACAGGAACTGCTAACTAGAATACCCAGTTTAGGGAAGAACATAAATGACCTCATGGAGCTGAAATACAGCACGAGACCTTTGTGAAGCATACAAAAATATGAACAGCCAAATCAATGAAGCAGAAGAAAGGATATCAGAGATTGAAGATCAACTTAATGAAATAAAGCATGAAAACAAAATTAGAGAAAAAAGAATGAAAAGGAACTAACAAAGCCTCCAAGAAGTATGGGACTATGTGAAAAGACCAAAGCTACATTTGATTGGTATACCTGAAAGTGATGAGGAGAATGGAACCAAGTTGGAAAACACTCTTCAGGATATTATCCAGGAGAACTTTCCAAACCTAGCAAGGCAGGCCAGCATTCAAATTCAGGAAATACAGAGAACACCACAAAGGTACTCCTTGAGAAGAGCAATCCCAAGACACATAATTGTCAGGTTCACCAAGGCTGAAATGAAGGAAAAAATGTTAAGGGCAGCCAGAGAGAAAGGTCGGGTTACCTATAAAGGGAAGCCCATCAAACTAACAGTGAATCTCTCTGCAAAAACCCTACAAGCCAGAATACGGTAGAGGACAATATTCAACATTCTCAAAGAAAAGAATTTTCAACCCAGAATTTCATATTCAGCCAAACTAAACTTCATAAGCGAAGGAGAAATAAAGTCCTTTACAGACAAGAAAATGCTGAGGGATTTTTGTCACCACCAGGCCTGCCTTACAAGAGCTCCTAAAGGAAGCACTAAATATGTAAAGGAACAACTGGTACCAGCCACTGCAAAAACATACCAAATTGTAAAGGCCATTGACACTATGAAGAAACTGCATTAACTAACAGGCAAAATAACCAGCTAGCATCATAATGACAGGATCAAATTCATACATAACAATATTAACTTTAAATGTAAACAAGCTAAATACCCCAATTAAAAGATCCCTCAGTGTGCTGTATTCAGGAGACCCATCTCACATGCAAAGACACACATAAGCTCAAAATAAAGGGATGGAGGAATATTTACTAAGCAAATGGAAAGCCAAAAAAAAAAAAAAGCAGGGGTTGCAATCCTAGTCTCTGATAAAACAGACTTTAAACCAATATTAGACAGATTAAGACAGAAAATTAACAAGGATATTTAGGACTTGAACTCAGCTCTGGAGCAAGCAGACCTAACAGACATCTACAGAACTCTCCACCACAAATCAACAGAATATACATTCTTCTCAGCACCACATCGCACTTATTCTAAAATTGACCACATAATTGGAAGTAAAACACTTCTCAGCAAATGCAAAATAATGGAAATCATGACAGTCTCTCAGACCACAGTGCAATCAAATGAGAACTCAGGATTAAGAAACTCACTCGAGGCCGGGCAAGGTGGCTCGCACCTGTAATCCCAGCACTTTGGGAGGCCCGAGGAGGGCAGATCATGATCCTGGCTAACATGGTGAAACCCTGTCTCTACTAAAAAAAATACAAAAAATTAGCTGGTCGTGGTTGCGCATGCCTGTAGTCCCAGCTACTTGGGAGGCTGAGGCAGGAGACTGGCGTGAACCTGGGAGGCGGAGCTTGCAATGAGCCGAGATTGTCCCACTGCACTCCAGCCTGGGTGACAGAGTGAGACTCTGTCTCAAAATAAATAAATAAATAAAAGAAACTCACTCAAAACCGCACAACTACATGGAAACTGAAGAACCTGCTCCTGAATGACTACTGGGTAAATAATGAAATTAAGACAGAAATAAATAAGTTCTTTGAAACCAATGAGAACAAAGACACAAGGTACCAGAATCTCTGGGACACAGCTAAAGAAGTGTTTAGAGGGAAATTTATAGCACTAAATGCCCACAGGAGAAAGCAGGAAAGATTTAAAATCAACACCCTAACATCACAATTAAAAGAACTAGAGAAGCAAAAGCAAACAAATTCAAAAACTAGCAGAAGACAAGAAATAACTAAGATCAGAGCAGAACTGAAGGAGATAGAGACACAAATAACCCCTCAAAAAATCAATGAATCCAGGAGCTGGTTTTTTGAAAAGATTAACAAAATAGACCACTAGCCAGACTCATAAAGAAGAAAAGATAGTATAATCAAATAGACACAATAAAAATGATAAAAGGGATATCAACACTGATCCCACAGAAATACAAACCACCATCAGAGAATACTATAAACACCTCTACACAAATAAACTAGAAAATCTAGAAAAAATGGATAAATTCCTGGACACATACACCCTCCCAAGACTAAAGCAGGAAGAAGTCAAATCCCTGAATAGAACAATAACAAGTTCTGAAATTGAGGCAGTAATTAATAGCCTACCAACCAAAACAGCCTGGGACCAGACAGACTCACAGCTGAATTCTACCAGAGATACAAAGAGGAGCTGGTACCATTCCTTCTGAAATTATTCCAAACAAAGAAAAACAGGGGCTCCTCCCTAACTCATTCTATGAAACCAGCATCATCCTGATACAAAACTTGGCAGAGATGCAACAACAAAAAAGAATTTCAGGCCAATATCCCTGATGAACATCAATGCAAAAACCTCAATAAAATACTGGCAAACCAAATGCAGCAGCACATCAAAAAGCTTATCCACTACGATCAAGGCACCGTCATCCCTGGGATGCAAGGCTGGTTCAACATACATAAATCGATAAATGTAATCCATCACATAAACAGAACAAATGACAAAAACCACATGATTATCTCAATAAATGCAGAAAAGGCCTTCCATAAAATTAAACACCCCTTCATGCTAAAACTCTCAATAAACTTGGTATTGAGGGGACATATCTTAAAATAATAAGAGCTATTTATGACAAACCCACAGTCAATATCACACTGAATGGGCAAAAAACTGGAAGCATTCCCTTTGACAACCGGCACAAGACAAGGAAGCCCTCTCTCACCACTCTAATTCAACATGGTACTGGAAGTTCTGCCCGGGGCAAGTAGGCAAGAGAAAGAAATAAAGGGTACTCAAATAGGAAGAGGGGAAATCAAATTGTCTCTGTTTACAGATGACATGATGGTATATTTAGAAAACCCCATCGTCTCAGCCCAAAATCTCCTTAAGCTGCCAAGCAACTTCAGCAAAGTCTCAGGATGCAAAATCAATGGACAAAAATCACAAGCATTCCTCTACACCATAATAGACAAACAGAGAGCCAAATCATGAGTGAACTCCCATTCACAATTGCTACAAAGCGAATAAAATACCTAGGAATATAACTTAGAAGGGATGTGAAGAAACTCTTCAAGGAGAACTACAAACCACTGCTCACAGAAATAAGAGAGGACACAAACAAACGGAAAAACGTTCCATGGTCATGGATAGAAAGAATCAATATCATGAAAATGGCCATACTTCCCAAAGTAATTTATAGATTCAATGCTATTCCATCAAGCTACCATTGACTTTCTTCACAGAATTAGAAAAAAGAGTACTTTAAATTTCATACAAAACCAAGAAGTGCCCATATAGCCAAGACAATCCTAAGCAAAAAAACAAAGCTGGAAGCATCAGGTTACAAGGCTATAATAACCAAAACAGCATGGTACTGGTACCAAAACAGATATATAGACCAACGGAACAGAACAGAGGCCTCAGAAATAATGCCACACATCTACAACCATTGGATCTTTGACAAACATGACAAAAACAAGCAATGGGGAAAAGATTCCCTATTTAATAAATGGTGCTGGGAAAACTGGCTAGCCATATGCAGAAAACTGAAGCTGGACCCCTTCCCCACATCTTATAAAAAAAATTAACTCAGGATGGGTTAAAGACTTAAACGTAAGACCTAAAACCATAAAAACCCTTGAATAAAATCTAGGCAATACCATTCAGGACATAGGCATGGGCAATGACTTCATGACTAAAACATCAAAAGCTAAGGCAACAAAAGGCAAAACTGACAAATGGGATCTAATTAAACTAAAGAGCTTCTGCACAACAAAAGAAACTATCATCAGAGTGAACAGGCAACCTACAGAATGGGAGAAAATTTTTGCAATTTATTCATCTGACAAAGGGCTAATATCCAGAATCTACAAGGAACTTAAACAAATTTACAAGAAAACAACAAACAACCCAATCAAAAAGTGGGCAAAGGATGTGAACAGACACTTCTCAAGAAAAGACATTTATGTGGCCAACAAACATATGAAAAAAAGCTCATCACTTGTCATTAGATAAATGCAAATCGTCATTAGATAAATGCAAATCAAAACCACAATGAGATACCATCTCATGCCAGTTAGAATGGCAATCATTAAAATGTCAGGAAACAACAGATACTGCAGAGGATGTGGAGAAACAGGAACTCTTTTACACTGTTGGTGGGAGTGTAAATTAGTTCAACCATTGTGGAAGACAGTATGGCAATTTCTCAAGGATCTAGAACCAGAAATACCATTTGATCCAGCAATCCCTTTACTGGATATATACCCAAAGGAGTATAAATCATTCTATTACAAACATACATGCACATGTATGTTCACTGCAGCACTATTCACAATAACAAAGACTTGGAACCAACCCAAATGCCCATCAATTGTAGACTGGTTAAAAAAATGTGGCACATATACACCATGGAATAATATGCAGCCATAAAAAAGGAAAAGTTCATGTTTTTTGCAGGGAGATGGATGAAGCTGGAATTTATCCTTCTCAGCAAACTAACACAGGAACAGAAAACCAAACACCACATATTCTCACTCAAAAGTGGAAGTTGAACAATGAGAATACATGGACACAGGGAGGGGACCATCACACACTGGGGCCTGTCAGTGAGTGGGGGCTAGGGGAGGGATAGCATTAGGAGAAATACCTGATGTAGATGCTGGGTTGATGAGTGTAGCAAACCACCATGGCAAGTGTATACCTCTGTAACAAACGTTCACGTTCTGCCCATGTATCCCAGAACTTTAAGTATAATAATAATAATAAAAATCCAAGTTAAGGACTAGTTTAACATCCTGGTTCAGTGGCGCTACTAATGGGGTGGGATTTGGGGGAGCATTAGAGTCCTGTCCTATTCTTTGATATACACAATTGATATTTATACAACTTCACAAAATTGTTAGAGAAACTATGCTCCAACTTTCCTCTTCTTATCAGAACGCCACTCCTAAGCCCCTCCTTTATAATAATTATAGAGCCATCCTAGCATCACAGTTCCTGGGTTGTCTCATTCTAAATTCCTCCCCATTTACTCTACCTTTGCTACTTACCAGTGTGCCTACACCCAGAGTTTCTCACCCTTGGCACTGTTGACATGTGAGACTCAATAATTTTTTGCTGTTGGGGGCTGCGCTGTGCATTTTAGGATATTTAGCAGCATCTCTGGCCTCTACCCACTAGGTGCCAGTAATACCCTCCTGCATCTCCAGACATTGCAAAATGTTCCCTGCAGGACCAAGCTGCCCATGATTGAGAATCATTTGGCTATACCTTATCATCCTAGGCCTGTCTGAGACTGAAACCAATATTCTTTGTGTATTCCAACTAGAAGTGTGTGTGTGCATGTGTGGGTGTACACATACATGCCACATGCATCCATATACACTCATGTATGGCATGGCTTAAAATTATTTGAGGTTCTGCTACTTTTAACCAAAAGAGTCTTGACTAACATCCTGTAAAGGGATGAAAACTAATGAGTGCACATTTTTTTTCTTCTTTTTTTTTTTTTTTTTTTTTTTGAGACAGTCTCACTTTGTTGCCCAGGCTGGAGTGTAGTGGTGTGATCTCAGCTCACCACAGCCTCTGCCTCCTGGGTTCAAGTGATTCTCCTGCCTCAGCCTCCCAAGTAGCTGGGACTACGGGCACATGCCACCATGTCTGGCTAATTTTTGTATTTTTACTAGAGACAGGTTTTCACTATGTTGGCCAGGCTGGTCTCAAACTCCTGACCTCGTGATCCACCCGCCTCAGCCTCCCAAAGTGCTGGGATTACAGGCGTAAGCCACCACGCCCAGCCAAGTGCACAATTTTCTTAAACATTAAATTCTAACTTCTTTTGCCTTGTATGCTCTAGAATAAGGGCTGTAAAATAACAAAGATATTTTCTTTGAATGTAAAATTTATGAAGTTTTTTCTATTTGGTATATTTTAATTTTTTTAATGGTAAGAATAAACTTGGTTCATGCATTATAAACATTTTTTAAAAAGGAGGCCATAAATATTATGGCAGATTTAAACTACTCAACTTAGACAAATAGCCAACAAAATGTTTTCTAATTTATCCTATCCTAAGATCAACTTAATATGCATCAGAGAAGTTTAGTCATCTTTGCCATTTTTTTCCCACAAAAAATGGATTGATCCTTTTTCATCTCTTTCCTTTTAAATTCCAGCAATAATTCAGTTTAGTTAGGTCTCAGGCCAGAACTGTCTGATTTATCCAAGTTAAAAATAGCCCATTCTGCTCACGTATTATTTTCATTTTCTGGCACTTGTGCCATTAAATTTGGGGAATTCACCTATGAAAGGAGACATTTGAGCTGGGTGCCATTGAAGGCCCCTTTTAGATTTGATTTTAAAATTTTTAGATATTATAAATGATATCCTTTTAAATGGAAAGGAAGAGTGCCACCCACTTTTAGCTCAAAAATGGTGCTACTGAGTTTGAGAGACAACATCAAGAAAAAAAAAATCAGACTCCTTAATTCAGAACCAGCTGCTTGGTTTTCTATCCTATAGTTACTTCCTCTCTGTAAGAAGCTAATTAGGAGAGGGATGATCTGGCTTTGGTATAACCCACCTCTTCTTGGAAGTATTCTCTCCTTAAAAGGGATGCATCAATATATTCATTACCCACCTTTTATTTTCAGAATAATACGATTATTTTCATTGTTACCTTCCTTTGCATCATTCCCTTCTAAAAAAAAAAGTCTTCTAATTGCTTACTCATTTGCTTATGTTTAAATATGGTTTGATTTCCTTTTTCTTTTTCCCTTATATTGACTACCACTTAATTTTTTTCTTTGCCTGCTCTAGATACCACGTGGCTCTGAGAGTTCATCTAACAATTTCATCCTTGTGAATTGCTTAGCAGCCACCTTTTCAGTACAATACCTTGGAAAGAAGAGCAGTTTTGGAAAATATCTGGGGAAATGGATTTTAGTCTTGGTTTGACACTTACTGTGTGACGTGGTTTGGCTCTGTGTCCCCACCCAAATCTCATCCTGTAGCTCCCATAATTCCCACGTGTTATGGGAGGGACCCAGTGAGAGATAACTGAATCATGGGGGCAGGTCTTTTCTGTGCAGTTCTCATGACAGTCAGTAAGTCCCATGAGGACTGAGAGTTTTACAAATGGGAGTTTCCCTGCACAAGCTCTGTTTCTTTGCCTGCTGTCATCCACGTAAGACATGACTTGCTCCTCCTTGCCTTTCACCATGATTGTGAGGCCTTTCCAGCCACGTGGAACTGTAAGTCCATTAAGTCTCTTTCTTTTGCAAATTTCCCAATCTTGGTAATGTCTTTATCAGCAGCATGAAAATGGACTAATACACTGTGAGACTGAGAAAAAGTCACTGGTTCTCTTATTCCCTATTATCTATGTTTTTAATTGCCAGCCTAAATAAAAATGGAACTTAAACAATAATCTAGAATAAAGGAATAAAATTCTCTGAGAACAAGCTTTTAAACACCTCTTTTTAATGAAGGAAAGTTATCCTATTAATTCTGGCAAGAACTTATACTTGACAAAAATGTACATGCAGGGTGGTTTAGGAAGCTCCAGTCCATGCTATGGTTTCCTTAGCTTCTGTCATGCAATTGAGTTTGTATGTTGGAGATTAGTTTTTTAGGGTATGGTATGGCCCTGAGAATTAGGCTGGTGAGATTGCAAGTTAAGAATGTTTATTTTCCCATTCTGGTTAATTTATTATTATACTTTAAGTTCTAGGGTACATGTGTACAATGTACAGGTTGTTACATAGGTATACATGTGCCATGTTGGTTTGCTGTACCCATTAACTCGTCATTTACATTAGTAATTTTAAAGTTTACTTTGGGGCACAGAGGAATCCAGTAAAAACCTATTCAAAATATTAAAAGACCATTGGGCCAAAATAGGCTTCCCTGAATAAAAGACTCCTTAAAATTGTTTTTTTCTGTTTCTTCTTCCTCCTCACTGTAATAAAGATGTGCATCAAGAGTGGAAGTGACAGTATTGAAGAAAATCTGCATTAGGAGGTTTTTGAAATACTAATAAAGCTTTGGAAAAGTGTATGCCATTCTGCTAATGTTGGTTAAATTGCATTGGCTGTTATAGGGGAGAAGGAAACTATTAACTTTTAAAACACTTTTATTTAATGTTTGCCTTATTATACAAAATGATTACTCTGAAATCCATATTTGTTTTTATTAAAATTATATATTTATTAGTGAGAGAATGGGGCTTGGACTGGAATGTCCAATGTTAATAATTACAAGCAGCAAATGAGACAGTGAACATAAAAGCATTTTGTAATTTTATATGCCATAAAAATGTAAGAGTCTGTTGTTTCTAAAACCACTCAGTGAGAGTATTACATTATAATCCTATTAATTTAATAATATTATTTGGCCTAATTCCTAGAGTATGACATACAAATATCTTTCATTCAAAATTAATATTTTTCTTCAAAAGTTATTCAAGTAACCTTCAAAAAGGTCTGCTGTGTACTGGGTTCTCTTTTAGGAAAGTGGTCCATTTTGAGCTACCCAGACAAGGTTCCTGTCCTTCTGGAGCTTATGTTACAGAGAGGAGAAGAGTGCCAATGTTAGAGTAAATGCACCGACAATTACAGATTATTTTGAGAGCAGTGAAGAACCGCTATGATAGGAAGGGACTATGGTAGGCCAAATTCAGATGGTATATATGTGTCAGGGAAGAACTGGATCAAATTCATCCATGATAAAATGAAGGGAGTAAGCTGGATCAGGTTAAGCTGCCGAGGGAGGCGGCTGCTTTAAACATAGTGCCAAGTTCCTATTGCAGACTGTCACTCATGAATCTCTTGAGGGTCATGCTCATATGTAACTGGTATTGACTGATCATTTTATTTCTTAAGAAAACCCAACGTTTGTTTTCTTGCAAGATTTTCATTAAAAAAATCAGTGGAAAGAGTGAGGTAAGAGGTAACCACATAGTTTTCTTTATTAGAAAGAACACAGGTTTATGATATTGATAATCTAGGTTCAGACCAGATGTCTTCCTAATTGTAACATTGGGAAACCTTATTTTCTGCATTTGTATAACAAAAGCATTTGAAAAGATGACCTCTATTATTCCTTGCTTCTACTGGATGTATGAGTCTGAATACAAACAAGTTGTTGTTCTGTTTAAATTGGTTTTCCTTGAAGAGAGTTAATCCTATATTTGAAAGGCAATTAAGCTGAAAGCAGGACAAGCACTAAAGCAAACTGAAGTACCATAAGGAAAGCCACCCTCCATAAAACAGAGATATAAAGCTAAGCAGAGAGGTTCTTTCCTTAAAAGTGTTCATGTTTGAATTGGCCTAATATAGAGGAAAAAGCAGGGGGGCTTCTGTGTCAAATGTATTTGACTTAAAATCTTGAAATTGACACTTACCAGCTAGGTAACACTGTGAAAGTTTTTTGTTTGCTTGCTTCTGCTTTTTTTTTAATCTACTTTGAGCCTCAGTTTTCTCCTCTCCCATCTATGAATTAAAATAAATAAAAATAAAAATAAAAATAAATAAATAAATAAAACAAAATACCACATGTTCTCATTTAAAAGTGGGAGCTGAACGGTGAGTACACATGGACACAAAGAAGGGAACAACTAACACCAGGGCATACTTGAAGGTAGAGGAGGGTGGGGATCAAAAAACTACCTGTCAGGTACTATGCTTATTACCTGGGTGATGAAATAATCTGGACACTAAACCCCTGCAACACATAATTTACCATATAACAAACCTGCACATGTACTCCTGAACCTAAAATAAACATCAAAAAAGAAAATATAGTGTATGTATAGACACAGATTCTTTGTATATATACCATATATATGTATATATACACGCAATAGAATATACACATTAGAATATATACAATGGAATATTATTCAACTATAAAAATGAGACAATCTAGCCATTTAAAACAACATGGATGGACCTGAAATACAATATGCTAAGTGAAGTAAGTCAGGCATAGAATGACCAATACTACATGTTTTTAGTTAGATGGGGAATCTAAAAAGGCAAACTCATAGAAGCAGAGAGAAGAATGGTGCTTTTCAGGGCCTGAGGGTGGAAAAGTGGGGAGAGGTTGTTTAAAGGGTCTATATTTTCAGTTATAAGATGAAGAAGTTTGGGAAATCTAATGTAGAGCATTGTGTCTATAGTTAATAACACTATATTATAGAAATAAAATGTTTTACAACAGTAAAAAAAAAAAAAGAAAATATCTGCTAGGAATAAATGAGATGGTGTTTTTAATACGTCCAACACAAAGGAAGCACTCAGTAAATGTTAACTCGTATACTTCACTTAGCAGTGTGTGGGAAGTTGCTTTCTTTTTTTATAATTGCACCAGTCAGGACAGAAGAGTAAACTCTTCTGTACACTATCATTTATCAGAGCTAATTCTTCTTGCCTCTCAGTGTGGCATTCAACAATATGCTTCCTTGTTTACAATATAGTCATCTTTCTATCTGTCATTAATATTTTATATTCTGGCCAATGGTCATGAATATGAGCAAACATTTTGATGATTTTCTAAAGAATAAGCAAATATAACACTATTTCAGTGCTTAACATACATACTGGGTGTTAAAATTTAATATTTTTCTGTCAGAGACTGTTGATTGTCAGGTGGATAGGGGCCTAACTCTAAATTCAGTAACGGTCACCATAAGGACAATCTAATGAGTGCTCAAAAAAGACCAGGAAGTAAACTTTTTTTTCAATTTTTGTTGAATATAATATGGAAATTGAATTGGGTTTTATGGACCCCATACAATACTGATTAATTCAACACTTCCATTTTCAGGAGGGAATGTATCCTCTATGATAAATAAAGCAAGACTGATACTTTTTACAATTTTCTTTGTTATGTTCTTTTATTTTTGGTAGGTGTTTGTTTGTTTGGTCTATATTTCTTTTTACTGATTTGCCTATTTTCAAAGAATTGAGATATCAGATAAGCCATAAATATGAACAAAATAAAATGTCTTTAAAATCAGATGCTGAAAAGATAGAGCTATTTCATTATTGGTGTACCTCGGCAAACATCAGTTTCATCAATTTTATTATATGGGAATAATATTTACTACCTGGTAGGGATATTGTGAACATGAGGTTAAATATATTTGTAAAAGATTAGAAAGTTCAAACAAATCAATGATTAATACTCAGAATGACAATATAAGCTCTGTCACTTGTAGCATCTACCACTTGGTTCATTAGAGACATAAATTTCACTTGTTAGTTTGGTAACAATCATATAGATCTTTGACTCAAAGAATGGTCTTCCGTGGCTGGAAAGTCCATCTTCTATAACTAATAGAGCAGATCAAAGAGTCATCACATGGATTAATGACAGGTGAAAAAAACAAACTTGCTACTCAGGTAGATTGGTGAAGAAACCTTGGGCTGGTAGTTCAGGCAAAACCCTTAGGACATTCAGATTAATTGTGTATTATTGTAGGAGGCAAGTTTAATCCTTTAAAATAAAGTCCTATGAGTTTTCAAATAGAGTATAGGAAATCAAATGAGACTTTCTCCTACTGTAGAAATCAGAAAAGACAATAAGCTAATAGAAACATCAATTACAGGAATTTTTTTTTTTTGGTTTTGTATTGTTTTTGAGATAGAGTCCCACTCTGTTACCGAGGCTGGAGTGCAATGGCCCAGTGTCAGCTCACTGCAACCTCTGCCTCCCGGGGCTCAAGTGATTCTCTCACCTCAGCCTCCTGAGTAGCTGGGACTACAGGCATGCATCCCCATGCCCAGCTAATTTTTGTATTTTTTGTAGAGATGGGGTTTTGCTGTGTTGCCCAAGGCTGGTTGCAAACTCCTGGGCTCAAGCAATCTGCCTGCCTTGGTCTCCCAAAGAGCTGGGATTACAGGTATGAGCCACTGCACCTGCCTGGTCACACATCAGAGAGCTAAGAATACAAAGAACCTAAATAAAATGAATTTCAGAGAGGGGCAAATCTTCTTAGGAAACAAAGACCTCTGTTTTATCTCAGTCCTAATAGAATAGCACAACGAAGAGTAAATGTACCTTCAATGGGAGGAATGAGAAATAAGCCAAACACTTAGTAAACTTTTATAACATCTCCATGGATTTTGGATGCATATTGCAATCTCAAGGAGGCTCACTCACAAAGAAAGTCCCCATTTACCTATATTTTCTTCTCTGTTGATCCTTGACTTTGTACACAGCCACAACATATACAAGACTAGGCACAAGGGAAACCCTTTTTAGATGTGAGAGACCTTCATGTAGTCAAGGAAGTGACGCATCTCTGGCTGGGATTAGGGCATGAAAGCTGAGAGAAAATCTCGAGGAGCACTGGGCATCATCTTATGCACAGCAGGAGCTGACTGAGGCTGGAGACAAAGCTAGAGGGAGGGATGGGACCCCTTGAGCTGGTGAAAGTCACGGAGGAAATGAAGAGAAAAAAGAATTATCCAGGGGCTAAAAATATCTGGTGACTGTAGTAGAGAGAAAGAGAGCTCTTTCATGTTTGGGATCATGGTGTAGTGACCAAAAATAATAGAGAGCTCTCCCAAGTCTTGCTGCAAAGAAACAAGATAATGTGAGCCGTGGTTTAAATAACACAATCAATGGGAACAACCAATATGATTTAGGCAATTACACATGTGAAAAAGAGCACATATCAGAAATGGAAATATTCTGAATAAAAGTGAATAAAATCTAGGAAGACTGAAATAGTTGGTGACTGATTGCAGGAAAAAAATGGAAGAAGACAAAATTATCTAAAACAAAGAACAATTATAACCAAGGAAAGCACATAGACACTGAAGATAGGTATTAAAAGAATCTCAAATAAATGAAATCAAAGCTAAAACATTGGTAAAATGATTTTTAAATGTAATTTAATGTAGAAGATAGGCAAGAAATGTGTATATATATGTATATATATGTATATATATGTATATGTATGTATATACATATATATATAGTTATTTTTGTGAAGAGAAAAAATCCAACACTTAAGTAGAACTGATATTTAAAACAATAATCCAAAAAGCATTTCCAGAAAACAAAAAAAGACAATTCACTGTAAAACAAATGTCCCCCAAATGTATAAAATGACCCCTGACTTAACCAATAATAAGTAATGGGTAAATAAAAAACAGTACTGATATACCATGCCACATCTATCAATTTGGCGAAAATTTTGTTTGGCAATATGCCCAGCTGGAAAGGCTGGAGAGAAAGGGCTATTCTCATTTATACCTGGTAGAAGTAAAAAATGTACTAATCTAGTGTTCGCAAATGTTTTGATATCTAACAGAAATACTTTATTCCTTTCGATCCAATAGTCCCACTTACAGAAATCTACCCTGAAGATACCCCTCTACAAATGTAAAATGGTATACAGTTATTCACTGTAGCATTAATTTGCAATTAATTAATTGCAAAAGATTTGAAAAATGCAAATGCCCATCAATAGGGAACATGAAAACAATGGAGTATTATGGCATCCTAAAACATAAACACATAAACAGCAAACAAATGAAGTTTTATTTAGTGTACTGCTTTGTAGTGATCTCCAAGAGAAAAAAAAGGTACTGTGAATACTAATGTACCTGGTAGTCCTTTTCTTAATACAAGAAAAGGATGGAAATAAGGATACGTTAGGTAGGAAAAATTACAGAAAATACAAACAAGAAACTAACAATTATTAGTTATAGGAGTTGAAATAGTAAAAACTGAGATGGAAGAAAATAAATTTAAAGACATTTCTGCATATGCTTTATCAAACTATTTAAATGCTTTAAAAAATTAAATCAAAACATACAAAACTTAGACAAGCTGAATTCATCCTAAATGTATATAAAATTTCTAATGTATCAATGGAAAAAAAGAATTATTCCAAATAGCATAAATATAATTCTGTGTAAGTCATATGCAGAACAACAACAAAAATCCTGCTAAGAAATAATAAACTTTACTCTGAAGACTTACAGTCAATGTACCACTGACAGTGTAATTGGAAATAATTTCTGCATCTCACAAAATAAAAGGCATGTAAATATTTAAATATTATTAGGAGAACAGGTTTTTGTGTCAGAGAAATGACATGCAAGTTTGCTAACACTATTTGTTGGAAGAGCCTAGAAACAGTAGCACCTCAAAAGACCTGGCATCCAGATCTTTCTTGATTACTCTAAGTGGGAAAATTAGAAGGTGAACCTGGGAATTTTTACTGTGTCTGATAGCAGGAAGAGCTCAAAATCACAAGGTGTATTTCAATAAGATGCAGAAGGCAGCTTAAAGAAGCATTTACTGGCCAAATTTGATATAATTTGAACATAAAAAACATAATTGACTATACTTCATTTTAAAACAGTAAAAATATGGTGATAAGAGGGACACACACACACACACACGTATTTGCCATCAGTGGAAGTGACTGCTACACCAATCCCTTAGTCTGAAAATTAGTAATAAAAGGAAAATAATTTAGCTTCTCTCTCACATGCGCGCTCTCTCTCTCTCCCTCCCTCTTTCATATATTAGAGTTACATGTTTATTCTGTTTTTTCTTTTTGGCAAAGTTCTTTCTAAGACTACCAGCTAATTTGTGAAATGAATATATTAATAGTAGAGAAATGCCATTTCAAGTCCCTAATGAACTCATTGTTTCAGGAAAAAGATGGATGCTAAAACCACCAAAAATGGCTAGTTACAGGGTACCAAAGAATCACCCCACAAAACTTTTCAAAGTGATCTGACAACCACACCTTAACACCATTCAATCCAGCAATCCCATTAATGGGTATATACCCGAAGGAATATAAATATTTCTATTATAAAGACACATGCACATGTATGTTCATTGCAGCACTATTCACAAAAGACATGGAATCAATATAAATGCACATCAATGATAAACTGGATAAAGAAAATGTGGTACATATACACCACGGAATACTGTACAGCCATAAAAAAGAATGAGATCATGCCCTTTGCAGTGATATGGATAGAGCCATTATCCTAAGCAAACTAACACAGGAACAGAAAACCAAATACTGCATGTTCTCACTTATAAGTGGGAGCTAATTGATAAGAACACATGGACACATATCAGTGAACAACACACACCGAGGCCTATGGGAAGGTGAAGGGTGAAAGGAGAGTGAGGATCAGGAAAAATAACAAATGAGTACTAGGCTTAACACCTGGAAGATGAAATAATCTATACAATAAACCCCCATGACACAAGTTTACCTGTGTAACAAACCTGCACATGTATCCCTGAACTTAAGACAAAAGTTTAAAAAAAAAAAAAAAAAGGAGCCAGAGTTAGAATCACTAATATTGATGCAATCTGACCATATGGGCCTTCTGACAGGATGAAAACTACACATAAGTTTATTTTTTCAAGTCTTTTCTTTTTGCCAAAAGACAAAAATCAAGCCTTTAGTCCAAACTTATAGGGGAAAAAGTTAAAACATTCACAGGGAAATTATCTGATAAAGTTGAAACATAAGACAAATTAAAAGATAACTGTCCTAATTTCTTCACACAGTCAACATCAGGGGGAAAATAGGAAATTATTGTAGGTTAAAAAATCAAAAAGATCTAACAAGTATGATGCATGGGCTTAACTATGATTGGTTCTCTGGCTTTAAAAAATACTGTGTAAGAATTTTTAAGGCAAAAGAGGAAATTTCAGCTTGAACACTAGCTAATATCAGGAAATTAATTTTCTTAGATGTGATGTTATTGAGGTAGTGTAGATGAATATTCTTATATAGAAGACACCTGCTGAAGTGTTTAGGGGTAAACAATTATGACACATACAACTTATTTCCAACCTTTCAATTGGTTAAGATTAGAGTAGTAAAATATGGGAAAATGGTGTGTATATAGATATGCTACTCTTCTAATATTTTAAAATTCTTTCAATGTTTGTACATTTTCATAATAAAAATTTTATTATGATTGCCTATATTGTAAACAGCGCTAAGGAGAAGTGAAATCTTGTTTGGATAATGCTCAAAATAGAACCACTTCCTGGTTAATTTGGCATCGGTTATCTGTCTAACCAATATTCACTCTTTCAATCTTTTTTGTATTAGAAACTGGAAATTAGGTCCACGGAAAACCTCCTTTGCAAATAGGGGAAGCCGATAGGGTTAAGAAAAGTTATACGGCGGGGCTCCTAGAAAGTCTGTTAACTTATTTCTCTTTATTTTCTGTGTGTGAGTTGGACTACGAACTTGATGGCTGAAGCTTTAGCTACTATCCGTGAACTGACATGCGAAGTTGGAAGATCAAAGATTCTTGATTCCTTGTGTGTGAATTTTCTATTGTTAAACTTATTTTAATGAGAGAAAAATAAAATCTGTTTAAGTCACTGGAATTTGAGGCTTCTGTAATTTGCAGTTTAACTTAATCCTAAAAATTACAACATTTATAAAGAATTTTCCTCTTCAGACTCTTGTGGTTATACAAGAAACATTTTCATGGGCAATCAAGGTAGACCAACTAATGCTCTTCAAATGATATCCATGTCTTAATACCAGAAATATGTCAGCATTCAAACAGACTTTGTATGGCACAAAGGACTATGCAAATGTGATTGAATCAATACTTTTGAAATGGAGAGACTATCCTGGATCACCTGGGTGGGCCTTAACTAGAATCATAGGTATTGTGAAGAGTAGAGAGAAAAAAATTCCATGATGCATTACCGTGTAGGGAATTTTGAAGAACTTGTCAACTAGTAAAACAGATTTTAAAACCTGCCTCTTTAATTGTGAGAAGTGGATTTCCATTACAAAAAAAATAGAGCTCATTTAAAAGTTATAAAAGGAATTTATATAAATGGTCAACTTACGTAAAACCCTTTATATAATCGTTAAACTGTACAGATTTTGATCTTGTTTAAAAATTTGTATTAAGCTCCTGAGTGCAAGAATTGCTTTTTATTATAAGAGAAAAACAGATTTATCTTGATTTATGTGACAACTGTAGATTTTACTTATAATTGATATATGTACCACTTCTCTTAGTGCTTTGCATTTTGCTTAGAATTCCCACAAATTATATAATCTCCAACTCACAACATGGTAAGATGTGTATATTATCAACATCCACATTAAGGATGAGTAAAATGACTTTCAAGATTTTAATTAGCTGTCTATAGTCACATAGCAAGTAAATATTAAATTAGCCCTTCAACTGAGATCTTTCAGATTTCAAAGACTACACAGAATTTTAGCTGTAACACATGACCAGGGAGCTGCAAGAAAAATCTCAGAGATGGGAACATATATTAACTAGGAAAATGACAAACAGAATTTGCATGCGTGTAAGCTCTTGGCACATGGATTTCCAATTCTTCTGGCTTAACTCAAACCATTCGAAATCAAAAGCACGCATACAGGGTGTTTTTTTCCCCCCCCCACTTAAAGGAAAATATCTTCAGTGGCCTTCCTGGCATCTTGCCTTGTAACTTTGTAACTTATAGAGCAGAGTCCACTGAATTTCTCTGGGCCATTTGACCCTTACTCAGGTCACGAGACAACACATTCTCATGGGGGAAATAGAGTCTTTTTTATCAGCACTTTTTGGATAAAGTAACAGTACATCAACCTTTGCTTAGACTATGGTATTCTAGTTCTCCAAGAACAGGAACTTTGTTATTCTGTAGTGATTTGGTCCTTGTCTAGTATTTTATTCCTCCTACATTTGAACTTGTTGTCTGTGGCCTTGTGGCTTTCTGCAACTGAATCTTCTCTTTCAGCAGCTAGATCCTCCGTGTGTTGCCTCCCTGTTTGGATTCTTACGTGACTAAATCCTAAATGTATTCCTACGAGTTATGGCTTAGACTTCTGTTCATTTTGGACTTGACACATCCTGTGCTTCCCTTTTTCTGTGCCTTGAATCTTTAACTAGAGCTTTCTATCTGCTTCCACTTTCTACCTATCAGCTCATCCTCACCTCATGAAGTATCCATATCTACTTTAACTTCTGTTTTTAATTTTCCCCAGTGAATGATCTTATGCCTGCCCAATGATATTGTGGTTTCTCCTTTATTTTTTAAAAATGGAGAATAATATAATGGAAGACAGCATAAAAGGTTTTGGGCTCAGACAGAGCTGGGATAAATTCCTGGTGCTGCAATTTACTCACTGAATAACTGAGGAAGTCACCTGGAAAAGGTCCCTTCTCTATCGGGCTTGTCCTCCACATTTACAATCACCAGGTCCTGTCTATTTTTCCCCTTAATTTCTGTCAAATCCCACTTCATTATATCCCATGCTACTGCTTTAGTCCAGGTTCTTGTAATTTTCCACCCATATCACGTACAGACTTTTAAGAAACATCGTGCCTCAAGTTTTACTTATTTTAAAGTCCATTCTCTTCACTGCTTTCATAACCTTATCTTTATGTAAGTCACTCTCTGCCTACAATGTCCCCCTTGCTCCCCTAAAAGCTAACTCCAACACATTTTTCAAAACTCAATTTAGAATTAACATCCCTGGGAATCTTTAGATGACCACTTTCATAACCCTCTTTCCTCACCTACACGCATACTCACAACTCTCTGGGTCAGGCAGGCCTATTTCTCATGTAATCCCACATGACTCCAAAAGATACTTTATATTAATACCCTGCCAGGTTGTCATTATTTATATATATGAGTTTATCCTTGAGGGCAGAAATTTGTTATTTCCGTCTCTGTAGTTTCTAGTACCTGGAACATATTCAGTAGCCTCAAAAATACAAGGGTTGGAGCTACCACTGTTTTTCCTAGAAACAATTGAAAGCTCACAATAAATGGAACCCCCTTTATTGTTCAGCAACATGTGCTTTTTCTACCTTTCCTTTTTTCACTTCCAGCTATGAGAGTCTAATAGGTCAGCTCCCATTTACTATTCTATTACATTTGAAGATGAATGTTAAGGCAGACAAATAGGATACTTTTATTGACTTGATTTTGTAAAATACTTCTCCGATAAGTAGTGAGTAAACCAATCCTTTATCCATTTATTCATTTAACATACATTTATTGAGCACTCACTGTGTGTCTGGACCTCTGTTAAGAAACCATTGGTACAAAACAATGGAAAATATAGGCCTTCAAGTTCATAGTCTAGCAGAAATATATTGAAAATACCCACTCTCCTTCCTCAGTTGCCTTTTGCAGAAGGAACTACTCATGATCAGTGCCTGCCATCTTTGTGTCAAACAATGCCTGCCATATAGTGTATGTTCAATAAATTTGTTAAATAAAATTTATAATAAATAAAATGTATAACTAAAAAAAGTAGTAGTTTCTCCATCTAATATTCAGTCCCAGAAGTTGGAGCTTTTTCACAAAGTTGTGGATTGTTTTTTCCTTCTGCCTTTCAACAGTACTTGGCCAAGCTGACATTAATCTTTTAGTTATTATTAGATAAAGCACTCATCTGCCTTTTCACCACTCTTGCACCTAAAGCCATCACCTTATATTAGTGGACACTGGACATGACACAATGTCAAGCTGGGCTGCTGTAATGAAATTCTGAATGTCTCTGGGATGACCTCTAATTTGGCCTTGTAGTGCATGTATGCCTGTTGTATGCATCTCCTTCCAAAAATCCCCATCTGTAATTACTTAGATTTTTATATTGCTAATAGGAGAGACTTTTAAGGGAAAAAAAAGACATTCAATGTTCTTTATTTTCTAACTTTGGTCTCCACTTTCTCTTAACCCTTGGGCCTGAGGAGTGAATTTTACTGAATGTAGCTCCTCACTGCAACATCTATGGAAAACGCTTCTCCTTTTCCACTGGTGAAGATACTGAAGGGAATAATAGTAAGCATGGAACTCCTCGGCAGCCTCCATCTCTTCACTTCAAAGTTCTTAAGTAAAGGATGTTCTTTAATTTGGAAACATAATTTATATTGCATTAACTTCTCAGGATTATTTTAAAAACCTGGTTTAGGAAATGCAAAATAAACAGGAGAGTTTTTATTTTTCTAGGAGAAAGCTCATAAAGAGTATCATTTTCTTTCTGACATATGGATTACTCCTGAGTGACTGTACTGCTTGTCTAAACACAGACTACTTTAAGAATGGGAAAAATTATGTGTGGAAATGGTAATTTTCTGTTATAAAAATGTGTATAGGCAGGGCACATTGGCTCACACCTGCAACTCCTGCACTTTGGAAGACTGAGGTGGGCAGATCATTTGAGGCCAGGAGTAGAGACCAGCCTGATCAACATAGTAAAACCCCATCTCTACTAAAAATACAAAAAAATTAGCTGGACGTGATGGCAGACACCTGTAACCCCAGGTACTCGGGAGGCTGAGGCATGAAAATCGTTTGAACCCAGGAGGCAAAGGTTGCAGTGAGCTGAGATTGCACCACTACACTCCAGCCTGGGCAATAAAGCAAGACTCTGTCTCACACACACAAAATAAATAAATGGGAGAAGCCATGTTGATTAGCTTCTGTTGCTGTGTAACAACAAATTTAGCAGCTTAACACAACACACATTTATAATTTTGCCATTTCCACAGGTCAGGAAACTAGGCACAACTTACCTTAGTCTGCTCAGGCACTTACACGGTTGCAGTCAAGGTGTTGGCTAGGGATGCAATCTCACTTGAGGCTTGGGGTTCTCTTTCAATTTCACCATCTATTGACAGAATTAAGTTTCTTGTGGTTGTAGGAATGCGTACCTCAGCTCTTAGAAGCTGCTGATCACTTCCTGCCATACAGCTCTCTACACAACATGGCTATTTGATTCTTCAAGGATAATGAGTGCATCTGTTTCTCACCTCTAAACCATCTTTTAAATAACTCATCAGATTAGGTCAAGTTCTGCTAGAACGTGCTTCCTATTTAATAACTCAAAATCAACTGATTAGGGGCCTTTATTATATCTAAAAAAACTTTACATTTTTGTTATATAGTATATCCTCTCATGAGTAAGTATCTCATCACGTTCACAGTCCCACCTATTTTCACAGAGGGGAATTACACAGGGTGAGTACACCAGGAGACAGGAAACTTGGAGGCCATTCTATAATTCTGCCTACCATACCATATTGTAGCACAAGTTTTAATAATTCAGAGAACTTGGTTTAATATTACCCAAAGGAGATAGCTTTATATTTTGAATTGACACAGTTTATTAGAGACTATGATGTCTTGCACATACACCTAATTTTTCTAGAGGCCTTCTTTAAAGAGATGGCACTAGAGAGTTCAGATACAAAATAAGAGGTTAGTAAGCAACTTGTTACACATATAATTGCAAGTGTTTACTAAATATGCAAGACCATACTTTTGTTTGCCTGGCTTGAAAAATTTGTTGGATTAAATTGTATTTTCATTCATACATTTGTCACTCGACTACGTTGTCAAATCTTTAATATTACTTGAGTCATATTTCTAGAACCTTTTATTACTTTAATGATTGGTTAATCGATAAGATTCATTTTAAGTAGATCCCACAGATATACAAATTATGAAAGACCATTTTGCTTTCAGCTGCCATAGTTAATGTGCTTTTATTTACTTTCCATTTAATTTTTAAATAGTTTTGGAGTAATGTTTTATTTTCAAGAATGATTTGTTTGTATATTTTGATTTTTAAAAATCATGTTTCATTTTCCCTAGTATCTAAGCCACCTTACACGTTATTACGTATCTTTTAGTAAACGACTCTTGTCTCTTCCTTCTGCACCTAGGCTGTTGAATAGGCTGGTTTCAAACAATTCAACTGTTTCTTCCCAGGCTGACATTATCTTTTCTTTTAAAAATCTTTCTAGGTAATAGAGTCTTCTCATTGAAACCTAATATTTAGGTATGTACCTCACAAAAAAAGTTATGAAATATTTAGGAGGATATCTAAAAGTGAGACATCAACAGGCTTTACCTATGCCTCACCTGCAAGAGTATTCTGTCTTTCTCTATATATACAGATATCTGCAGTTATTTTTTCACTGATGGTGAAACGGCCCAAAGCAGATTATGAGAATGACCCTATAGGCTTTTGCTAGAAATATTGGAGGATTTCTCTTTCTGCTACATTGCTAGAATTTTATACTATCACCTTTAATTCCCAAGGGCCATCTTTTCTACCTGTTATAAGTGAGAAGGTCTACTTGAAAGTGGAAAACAGTGGCAAGATAAAGATGCATCTATAAATATATATTTCTATAACTATATGGTTACCATATTTAATATATATTAAATATAAATATAGAGATAAATGGATGGTTGGATATATAGATAATATAGAAATAGAGATAGCTAAATTTATACCTCTAAAAATCACAGCAGTATAGAAATTTAATCTTGTCTAAACACAGACTACTTTAAGAATGGGAAAAATTATGTAAGGAAATGGTAACTTTATATAATAAAAATGTGTATAGGCTTGTACTATATAATTTTTGAGCCTGTAGATCCAGCTTTGTCTATACCTATTCCAAAATATACCTGTGTAATCTACAGATATGTAAGTTAAACAAGTCTTTTCCTTAAAATAGTTTTGATTCCATTTCTGATATTTGCAACCAAGAAAGTCCTAACACAACAATCATACTGTGTATTGGTCATTAGAACACAAAAATAGAATGAAATAAATGCAACTGACATGATTACAGCGATCACAGATGTGCTCATGAAGATGGTAGGGAGCTTCTCAGAATGAATGAGTAAAGGTAAAAAAAAAATTGTGTGATTGATGTGTACTCAGAATTGTTCAGGTTGTTGAGAAAAGTTCTGTAAGTCTGTACTATAAATTCTTAGCTTGATAAACTATTAAAACAAATAGTAACAACTATCTAATGTAAGTAGTGAATTATAGGCACTCTTCATGATACAAGATGATAGCTTAAAAATTTGGAGCCTAATCCTCAGCAATACCAACCAACTAAGGTTATTAAGTGCATTTAGGTGGAACGCGAATTACCAGTTAGAAAGACCAAATCATTCTGGGTGCTGACTGTTCTCTCTCAGCCCCCCTAAATCTACTGTTTACTGTTCTCCATCCTACTCTAAATCTTGGGAGGCTGACCTTGATGTTCTCCTTTATGTGATTTCCTAGCTCTCTGGCTTAATTTTCAGTTAAAAGAAGTTATCAAAAGAACTTTCAGAGGTAGCAGGAAGATGACATCAGGGAATTAATTTTCTCTATCCCCGCTAAGCCACGGTGGCTTAGCTATATTTATCTAATGAAGGCCAAGGCTTCTGTCAAGAATCCTTCTCCATATTGCTACCATCGTGGGGTTCCACCATTCCCTCCACTTCTTCTTTCAGGCTGAGGGGTGGTAATGGCTCTCCAGTATTGGTCCTCTAGGAAACTTCTTAATTTCTCTAAGCATTGCAAAATTACTGGGATTGAGCGTGCCGTCTGTTTTCTGACAGTACTCAAACTGAAAAAGTTATTTTTATTTGTCTTTTATATTATATCCTGTAATTTCTAAATATTCTACAAAGTTCATGTTTGCCTTTTAAATCAGCTAACAATAAATAATGTTGGAATATATTTATTTGAATATACCTGATAAACATTTGCAGAAACTTGCATTTCAAGATAGAGAATAGTGATTATTTCTGAGGGAAAGGAATTAACGAATGTTGACATTTATATACTGGGTACCACCATTAGGGACCTTGAATAAATTATCTCATTTATGCAATGGTATTATAGTTTCCTATGTTTCTGTTTTACATATGACATAAATCAGACTTTGTTTATACATCTAGCATGCAGAAGCAGTAATTCAAGATTAAACCACACATATAGACATAATAAGTGGTAAATCATATGCCCTGGTAAAGATGAAAAATTTATGATATGTGAAATAAGGATTTCTGCTTTCATAGGAGAAGAAGCACTATTCCTGCTACTTTTACAATAGTGAAGAGTTGTTGAGCAGCTGCTACACAGCTTTTTTACTTGGATACCACACTGTCCAGCAAAGTATTGTATGAAGCAATTTAATGCTCCAAATAAGTACAAGGAATTTGCAATCAGACTGTTTGAATCCCAACTTAACTTGGATATTATCTAAATGTTGTTAGGTTTTAAATTTTTCCTTCTGTAAATTATAGAAAATTGTATCGCTCTCATAGAATCTCTTGTATAATTAACTAAAATGTACACATAAAGTTCAGCACAGTGCTAAGGAGAGCATGAATATTATTAACATTGGCTGTGGCATATTATTATCGATAAGTGTCCATTTTTAATCTTGAAATTTCTGTTTGCTATTCCCAACAGATTATTTGAATCAATAATGTGCACTTTATATCAAAGCTTAATGGAGATTTCAAAGTACAGGTTAAATGTGCTGTTGCAAGTATTTATAAACCCAAATAGTAGATTTTGTTAAGTAGTTTGTGCGAAGCGAGGAGGTTCAAAATGGAAAGGCAAAACAAACGAACAACCTCTCCGCCCCCCCCGCCAGAAAAAAATTAATAAATTTGTTTGTTTCACCATGACCAAATATCTTCCCTGCAGCGCCACATATTTGGAAATTTATATAGAGGTCAATGCTTGAAAAACATATCCACACAAATAACCTTTGAGTAGATTAATATACCAGTGTCTCAGGAGTGACACTTACCTAAGTCACTAAATAAAATACAGTAAAATCAGAGGGTTTAGAAAGTTCCCCAAGTTGAGATATTACACGTTAAATTATTTCCCTAAGAAGATGTGTGTGGAAGGAAGAAGATGACCGTGAAAATCCTGACAGATCATTAACAACATAGCGGGTAAGACCCTATCTAGTTGGTGACTTTCTACCAGTAATCTTTGAATTATTGTTGCTAGTCAGTACTTGATTTAATAAGTTGGGTGAAAGAATCTCTTAGTCTCTGTGTTGGAATGCAACTCACTATCCACTAATGGAAAATAGTACTGGAAACCTCAGAACTTGGGACATCGATTTTATTGAAGTTCTCAATAAACATGTTTTTTTTTTTTTTTTTTTTTTTTTTTTTTTTTTTTGAGAGAGTCTCGCATTATCGCCCAGGCTGGAGTGTAGTGATGCGATCTCAGCTCACTACAACCTCCGCCCCCGGGGTTCAAGCAATTCTCCTGTCTCAGCCTCCCAAGTAGCTGGGATAACAGGCAAGTGCCACCACGCCCGGCTAATTTTTGTATTTTCAGTAGAGACGTGGTTTCACCTGGTTTCACCAGGCTGGTTTCGAACTCCCGACCTCGGGTGATCTGCTCACCTTGGCATCCCAAGTGCTAGGATTACAGTCATGAGCCACCACGCCTGGCCAAAAGTGTCTTAAATGACTGCAAGCATGAGGTAAAGAAGAGAAGACAGGAAAATAATGATTTCATTTTTACCTCCCTGATCTACATGAATTATTTTAGATTTGGTTACTCAGCTCTATGGACATGGCATAATCTCTATTAGTTGTCTTTCATTTGATCACAAACTTATTTTCTTCCAGCTTTGTGAGGTGTAACTAACAAAGACTATATATATTTAAGGCGTATAAAGTGATATTTTGATACACTTGTACATTGTGAAAGGATTACCACAATCAAACCAATTAACATATCCATTGCCTCAGGTAGTTTATTTTGTAAATAGTTACATGAAGAGATATATTTTACACTGAATATAGGAAAACCTATTTCATATTCTTGGTTTTTATTTTATTATTATTTTTTTTAATCAGAGACTCAAATCCGCATAGACCATCCTACTTAAGACTCAGAGGGAAAATATACCAGAAAGAAGCAAAAGGATCCCAATTTATGGTTGTCAATCATTTTTCTGCCTTCATACACACCTGAGTTATGTCTTCACATTCAGCGGTGACAGAAGAATGACTGAGATGATTAATGGGGAGATAGAAACATATGGGGAGTCTCTGAAACCATGTGTTTAGATGAGTGATGGTTAGGGTTCAGGTTAATCCAATCACCCTCCGACCCAGCGTGAGAAACTGTGATTGAGATTGAGTTCACATGTGCTCATGTCTTGAATGTACTAGAAGATTCTAAAAGTTCAGTTTCCTAACCAATTTCAGGATAATTTATATGAATGCTATGGAAAGTGATGGCTATTGTCTTGGAGAAGTGCTACACAAGTTGTGTTCTTAGCGTCCTCTCATGGCTCCTAAAGATCATCATCCCCCTCAAAACCCATCTGCTGTTCAAGTCTTGTTCTTGATCCATTGTTTTGAAAATAGCAGGGGAGAATGGGAAGAAAAGGAAGAGAAGTGTGGTAGGCAACTAAATCATCAAAAGTCATGAGTTATTGGTGGGCGCAGTGGCTCACGCCTGTAATCCCAGCAATTTGGGAGGCAGAGGCGGGCGGATCACGAAGTCAGGAGATTGAGACCATCCTGGCTAACATGGTGAAACCCCGTCTCTACTAAAAATACAAAAATTAGCCAGGCATGGTGGTGGATGCCTGTATTCCCAGCTACTTCGGAGGCTGAGGCAGGAGAATCGCTTGAATCTGGGAGGCGGAGGTTGCAGTGAGCCAAGATCATGCCACTACACTCCAGCCTGGGCAACAAAAGTAAAATTCCATTAAAAAAAAAAGTCATGAATTATTTAAGTAGAAAAAATAAACTAAAACTTAAGCACATCGTTTTCATGGATATACTAATATCTCCACTGCATATTTGCTTCTTAAAGGTAAGGGTGAAGAGAAACATTTGAAGACCACATAATCTAAAAAAATAAAAACAGTTTGAAAAGGTGAAGCTACAAAAGAAATGTGACCATGCTACACCTTCATCACAAACTTTACAGCTGGATTTTCTGGTTGGAAAGAAAGGCCATGACAGTGTAGCTCCCATTTGCATAGCAGATAACCTTGGACTCTATTCAGAATTATTTTGTGCTCTTAACACCTGGGATTACCAAATCAGAAATCATCAGAAGTCACAAATAGTCACTATTGATATTTAGGTTCCTCCTCTTTCTGAGGTGTTTGAGAAATAAAAGCTAAGGGTCAGAAGTTAAGCACAAGTTCCCAGGACAAAGACCTCAGTTCTTATAAAAACTGAATACAACCCCTAAAAAATCTCTAAAAAATAAATTTTGCATTTATAGACCAGTATTTCTGACTTTTCATTTTATGGTATAAGAAAGTGTACCTTTAATGAAATTGTACTACTCTTAACACTTATGTAAATCTTATTTAAATCGACTTACAAAAAATATTACATTTATCTACATAATTAATTCCTTAATTTTAGCAAATCTTAGCTTATACAGTTACTTGAGTGGTTATAGAGACCACCCGCTACCAGGTACAAAGTCAAGGCAAATTTAGCTATTCCTTTTTGTATCATAAGTCAGAATGATTGAGTTCTGTTCCTAAAGTTGCCCCCTAAATAATATGTAGAGTTAGGCAAGTGAGTTAACATCCCTAGACCACACTCCTGGAAGTAACGCTACAACGGAATTAGACTGAAGGAATTATAAGGTACCTTCCAATATAGCACCCAAATTAAAAATACCTTCATGTGCACCATTACTCCTACACTGCTCCCACTGCCACTGATGCCGCAAATAGTTGGGAAGTTTAGTTGAACTTCGTGTAATATTCTGCATTATATAGGTTTACTTCTTCTCCAAATGGTTTCATTACTTTTGTTCATTTTAATATTGAAAATAAATATGAGAAGAAGAGTATTTAGGTTTTAGCATTAGCAAACCTTGATTACAATCCTATGCATCTTAGGTCGATAGCCTTGGAAGATAAAATTAGTATATTTGGCTCTTGGTTTTCTCATAAGTAAAATGTGATAATTGCTACTTAGCAATGTTGTGGTGAGAATTGACTCAGAATAAATGCAAAATGCTTCCCATGAAACAAGTTTTCAGAATTGTTTTTAATAAACAATGATTATGTCTTAGATGCTTAAGTCCCTCAGGAATGTTTATAAGATGGTGTCACTTATAAGACATTTATGTATGCAAATTTAAATATACAATGAGGTATTTGGAACATTTTTACTGGACTAAGTGGAATTTACTGGAAAAATAGGCTTTAAATGATCTCAGTGATTGTGAATAAGGCCAGTCATCCTACAGAGTGTGTTTAAGCAACTGTCAAAACGTTGAGATGATAGAAGATTAGAATTGTTCCTTTCCTCTCCCCATGTTACCAGGGGACTTTTCATTGTACATTAATTTTGAAATAGGTGATATTATGACTTAAAGTTTAGAAGTAGTCTGCCCCAAAGGAGTTAACAAGTACCAGCCACAACTGAAGAAACTATTTTAAGTGGGCTTGGCAGGAGAGCCTCCCTGCTGGAGAGAGGATGGGAAAATGAGATGTCAGCCTTGGCAGAAACTATCCACATTTGAAGCTGAAACTGACAGCTCTTAGGTGAACAGCATGTCTCGGCTGTGCTGTCCAAAGAAATAACCTGTCAAGCCCCTAGATTGAACTTGTACAACTTCCATATGGCCACCAGGTAAACAAAAATATCACCATACTGAGTCAGAAAATGTATCTGCATATCCAAGCATCCTGCTCAGCAAGTATCATATGGAAACCATCACATTGCACACCTGGTCTCTACTCCAAAGTAAATCTTTGGGTAAAAATGGCCATGTAATTGACCACTGGGAAGAGTGAATCCCTCACAGTCCATAGTACATTCAACCAGTAGGAAAGAAGCCATAAACTTGCCCATTATGTGACTGATTTTCACATAATTCCCACATTGTTGACATCAACAAAAGAGCCACAAAAAATGTTCTCAATATCTAATCAATGTATTGATGATTATGGAGATAATGATACTGATGTTGATGATGGTGAAAATAGTAACTGAGATGATAATCTCTAAATTGGGTAACTCTTGGGAGCTTAGATATAAACTAACATGTTAAAAAGACACCAAAGGATTGATTTGAAGGAAAGCCAAAGAAACGTGAAAGGGGAAATGAGTAGTTACATCAAGAGAACCTCAACAAACAAGCTGGACCAACAACAAGGTTGGCCTCTGATGCTTGTAAGAGTGCATCAGATGAAGCAATAACATCGTCATGGGAGAGAAAGTTAAGAAAACTAATGAGACCTAGGCCAGGGACAAAAGGTAGGAATCAGAGAGAAGGGATCATTGGGTGTTTTTCATGGTGGGCCCTTACCCATCCTCTGTTCCTGTCCCAGCTTCCCAGAGATTACTATAAAATTCTGGGAATTAGAATGGAAATATCTGCAATAAAACCTGATTCAAATAATGAAGTGTTCAGTGGTGCATACAGTTATGGATTCTGGAATCAAAGAAAACTGATGTGTGACTTAATAGGTACGTAACTGGGGATGAGTTACTTAACCTGTCGCATCCTCAACATAAGATGTATGGATTATAATGCCAATGGCATAAGATTGTTAGAAGAATTAAGGTAAAGTATCTAGACCACATAACCTAATGTCTGATATATATATATATATATATATACACACACACACACACACACACACACACACACACACACACATTATATATATATACACATTATATATATATAATCTATTGTTCAATAAAGAACATTTATAATTATTTAAATATATGCATGTGTATTAGTCCATTTTCATGCTGTCTTTCAAAAAGACATACCTGAGACTGGGAAGAAAAATCAGTTTAATGGTGTCACAGTTCCACGTGGCTCAGGAGGCCTCACAATCATGGTGGGAGGCAAAAGGCACGTTTAACATGGTGGCAGCAAGAGAGAATGAGGCAGAAGTGAAAGCTGAAACCCCTGATAAAACCATGAGATCTCATGAGACTTATTCAGTACCACAGGTACAGTACGGGAGAAACTGCCCCGATAGTTCAATTATCTCCCACCAGGTCCCTTCCACAACACATGGAAATTATGAGAGTACAATTCATGATGAGATTTGGGTGGGGACACAGAGCCAACCCATATCATTTCACACCTTGCCCCTGCCAAATCTCATGTCCTCAAATTTCAAAACCAATCATGCCTTCCCAACAGTCCCCCAAAGTCTTAATTCACCTCAGCATTAACTCAAAAGTTCACAGTCCAAAGTCTTATCCAAGATAGTTAACTCCCTTCCACCTATGAGCCTGTAAAATCAAAAGAAAGTTAGTTACTTCCTAGATACATTGGGGATACAGGCATTGGGTAAATACAGCCATTCCAAATGGGACAAATTGGCCAAAATACAGAGGCTACAGACCCCATGCAAGTCTGAAATCCACTGGGGCAGTCAAATCTTAAAGTTCCAAAATGATCTCCTTTGATTTCATGTCTCGAATCCAGGTCACACTGGTGCAAGGGGGTGGGTTCCCATGGAACCCACAACAACTGAACAATTCTGCCCCTGTGGCTTTGCAGGATAAAGCCCCCCACCTGGCTGCTTTCACAAGCTGCTGTGAGAGTCTGTGGCTTTTCCAGGCACACAATGCAACCTGTCGGTGGAGCTACCATTCTGGGGCCTGGAGGACAGTGGCTCCCTTCTCACAGCTCCACTAGGCAGCACCCCAGTGGGGACTCTGTGTGGGAGTCCCCTCCCTACATTTCCCTTCCGCACTGCCCTAGCAGAGGTTCGCCATGAGTGCCTTGTCCCTGCAGCAAATTTCTGCCTGGACATTCAGGTGATGCCATACATCCTCTGAAACCTAAGCAGAGGTCCCCAAACCTCAATTCATGACTTCTGTGCACCTGCAGGCTCAACACCACATGAAAGCTGCCAAGGCTTGGGGCTTGCACCCTCTGAAGCTACAGCCTGATCTGTACCTTGGCTCTTTTTAGTCATCCCTGGAGTGGCTGGGAAGCAGGGCACCAAGTCCCTAGACTGCACACAGCAGAGGGACCCTGGGCCCAGCCCACAAGACCATTTTTTCCTCCTAGGCCTCTGGGTCTGTGATGGGAGGGGCTGCCACGAAGGTCTCTGATATGTCCTGGAGACATTTTCCCCATTGTCTTGGTGATTAACACTCGTCTCTGTGTTACTTATGCAAGTTTCTGCAGCAGGCTTGAATTTCTCCTTGGAAAATAGGATTTTCTCTTCTATCCTATTGTCAGGCTGCAAAATTTTCTGAACTTTTATGCTCTGCTTCACTTGTAAAACTGAATGCCTTTAGCAACACCCAAGTCACCTCTTGAATGCTTTGCTGCTTAGAAATTTCTTCTGCCAGATACCCTAAATCATCTCTCTCAAGTTCAAAGTTTCACAAATCTCTAGTGCAGGGGCAAAATGCTGCCAGTCTCCTTGCTACAACATAACAAGAGTCACCTTTGCTCTAGTTCCCAACTAGTTCCTCATCTCCATCTGAGACCACCTCATCCTGGACTTTATTGTCTGTATCATTATCAGCATTTTGGTCAAAGCCATTCAACAAGTCTCTAGGAAGTTCCAAATTTTCCCACATTTTCCTGTCTTCTTCTGAGTCATCCAAAATGTTCCAATCTTTGCCTGTTTCCCAGTTCCAAAGTTGCTTCCATATTTTTGGGTATCTTTTCAGCAGTGCCCCCACTCTATTGGCACCAATTTACTGTATTCATTCATTTTCATGCTGCTGATAAAGACATACTGGAGACGGGGAAGAAGAAAGGTTTAAAAGAGTCACAGTTCCATGTGACTTGGGAAGCCTCACAATCATGGTGGGAGGTGAAAGGCACTTCTTACAGGGTGGCAGCAAGAGAGAATGAGGCAGAAGTGAAAGTGGAAACCCCTTATAAAACCATGAAACCTTATGAGACTTATTCACTGTCATGAGAATAGTATGGGGGAAATGACCCCTACGATTCAATTATCTCCCACCTGGTCCCTCCCACAACACGTGAGAATTATGGGAGTACAATTCAAGATGAGATTTGGTTGGGGACACAGAGCCAAACCACATAAGCATGCATCTCTATAAATATGTAGCTCTGCCTTATGACTAATAGTTTTATGATCTATGACATCTTTCACTCTTTGATCACGACTTGGTTTATTTCTCTGTCTTCATCAAAGTTATAGGTAAACAATTTCTACTTAGAAAAAAATATGTGATTTTTGTAATGTAAGATGTTCTCTTATGAGGCAAAAGTGTCACTTGAAGCATTCTCGCTTTGGCAAAGTGAATATTAGAAAAGATCTGAAAACCACCCACAACGTTGACAACTTCAGATAGGCTCATAAAATTGTCAGCTGTTACTCAGCTAAGATTTCACCTAGATGTAAATTTAGCTCTGTTTGACTCAATACTCATGCTTTCCCCAAGACACCATGCTGACTCGCAGCGCATGGCTACTATACTGTTTCAAACTTTTCCCTTTCTCCCTCTAAACACACAGCTTCTGCTACCTGGTAGTTCATATGTTGACAAATTTCTGCCTCTGTGAAGGTATGTAAAAACATTACCTTCATGAAGCCTTCCTACAGACCCCAGGACAGAATTACTTCTTTAATTTCAAAGTACCTTTTCTTAAATATTTTTTAAGGCATCTAACACAGTGTTCATGCTATTTTCCCAATACCTGGAACCATGCCTAGCATATAGCACATGGGCAATAAATATTGGTTGAATAAATGAATTACACTTTATTTATATGCAGCTTCTCTGTCTTTCTAGGTATTGAGCTCCTTAAACATACTGTCTAACCAATTTGCTGAAAATGCTAAGCTGGTTACTGTGAAACCCTGAAGTAATTTCACTATATTGTCTATGCACATTCTTAGATATTAAAAAGCCCAATGCAATCTTATACCAAAGCTTCAGTCTTTCAATCTATTTAAAGCTTCTTAACTCGCTATCACAATTCTTGCATGACACAGGACTCAAAGATTGACAGGAACAAGGATGTTCTATGTCTACTTTCTTTCTTGATTCACCATTTTACCACATTCTTAAATTTTTATTTCTGTTCTTTCAAGAGTTAGGCTCAGTAGACAGTGAGGATTAGAGGTAAAGGATTTAAAAAGGCCTTATTTTATTAGTGTGGTTTTAATCTGAAGCTAATGCCCTCAAAAAGGTGGATATACAAATGTTGGCTTTTTCTTTCATGATGCTTTTGATACATTTGTGTGGATATCTTTCTGCAGTGTTCCATGGTGCAGTATACTATCTACCTGGTCAGCTATAAACTCACTTTCCAGAGATTGGCAGTAAACCATGGCGTTTTGAAGAGAAAAAAAGAGACATGTACAGCCCCCCAGTAACCCTCTCCAAAGAAATTGTCATTTTTAAGCTTCCTCATATATCCTTCCATTTACATGGTGAAAAGAGTTGACAAGCACTTATTATTTTCACCCACAATTCCAAAACTGCAAATCTTCCATTTAGGATTTTGGAGTAACTTCATTGCTCCCATTTTTTTTTTAACATTTATCATCTGGCATTTTGTAAAATATAAATTTAAGTGAACAATTAATGGATAAATGAATGAATGTATGAATAGCTGAATGAAAGAATATAACTTTTGTGAGTTTAAAGACATAAAAATATTCTGTATATTAACCTTTCCAACAGAGAGCCACTGGAGGGTGAAGTATACTATGGGGAGTAAGAGGGATGCCATGGAGGATATTCTGATGGACAGACGGTCATAATTATCCATCCTCAGTTCCCACAGAAAAAGACTCAGATGAACAGAATATGAACAGATGCCACTTGGAGGCATCTGTCCTCCAAGTGGACAGAATCCAAGAATCCAGAGCTCAGGTATCAGCCTAAGGATTTTGAATCTTTATATTAGTGTGAGTTGAGTGAAGGGATGGCTTAAGACTCATGGATTTAAGTTGGGCAGAAATGATTAGCTTGGAGGAAGAAGATGTTTTCTTAGGACTCCAGGATATCTCAGTTATGTGTTGAAATAATTATTTTGGTCTAAAATCAATATTAAATTATAATTTCATACAGTTTTTTATTTGTTAACTATTTTACTGTCTAGAATGTATTGCTATCGACACATTTCTCATCAACATTTTATGTTTTATTTAGAGAGCGGAGGCTGTCTCTTTCCCTGGACAAAATCATGACAAGATTCGGGAATTTTCTGGCTCTGTCTTAGATCATAGCAATCCTAGGCTCACTTTAAACCACGTAAACAGTACTAGCATTTTCAGTCCAGAATTGTAATCAAATTTTACTTTTGAATTAGCATATTTAAAAAATTCTTAGACAGAGTGGGCCATCTTCAGGCTCAAGTCTTCTAGTGGGGGAAGGCAGGTGTTTTTTTGTTTTTGTTTTTTTCTCCTTCATACTCTCTTACCTCGTCCTCTATTTTCTAACTGCTGATTCAATTGGATAAGGCTAAATCTGGGTCCTGGGAGGATTTGGCAGTTGGGAGAAAAATAGGTAAGGAGATGGGTCTATTCTTACTTGGTTGGTGGCTTCCAGTTTTTGGTTAGGCAGACATTTAAAGCTGGTGACCCTGGGTGGGTATGGCTTATGCTTTCTCTGATGCACAAATTTCCATTGGCTCCTTAGGATTTAACAACTGTTGACACCTTACTTCCTGAAGTTGCCTTAGCTTGAGTAGATGCAACTATATTCTCATACCTTGTGTTTCCCTTCTCTACCTCTGGTCAAACAACAATAGATTTACTGCCCTTTTCTGCTCAGGTCTTACTTTTCCAGACAATGTCATCAGACAGGATTGAAGGAAACCTCTTGCTGGGTTATGGTCCATTGCAAACACTCTTGCTTATCTGTGCCCTGTAAACTTTGAGAATGAACACCCACCTCAGTGAAGTCATTTTCTCAATTCCATATCCAAAATGATAATCTTTCCTTGGCTTCAAGATTTTCTGGGTAGGGTAAAATTCCACTCAATGGTTGACTTTGTATTTCAGATGTATGTCAGGCATTGGCCCATGAATGCAAGAAAAACATTGCAGTTTTGTCTAAGGGATTCTCTTGACACTTGCTTTACTAGGTTTGGAGTAAGAAAGTAGCAAAGTTATTATTTCAAAGAGGAAATGGGAGCTCGAAGCCCAATAATACCTCTCTTCAAAGAAATATCATTTTTGACCTCCCCCCGCTTTCACATTCTGACCCCATTTTCTTAATATTTATGCTGGTTGGAGGACTCCAAGAAGCCTGAAAATGATTTTTTTTCTAATTTCTTTATCTACACATGGAAATGTAGCCTTAGAATTTCACATTTATTCTGTCTTGAAGTTTTCCTGGAAACTTCATTTTTAACATATTGTTACATAGTGAATTCAAGGTTCAAACTACAGACTTACAGTGAACTTTCAGATCTTAAACTACATAGGTTAGGTATGTTCTATGTTTACAAAGGTAGTCATACATTCCCTATGCTCTTCATTTGAACTTGCATTTAATGGCCCTAATTTTAAGAAAAACTGAGCTTAAGAGTACCAGTTAATTCAGTTTATTCAACTTAATTCAATTTATAATGATGAGATGAAGTAGAAGTTACTACATGCTCTGACTCACAGTTTTCTCTATGTAGGCTGTTTCTTTGCCTTTCCAGTTTCTTTGAGAATCCAAGAGCTAGCAGACCATATGCAGCTGTGTGGCTTTTCACATGAACAGAAATCTTAACACTACTGAATGAAAACTTGTCATTTTACTTCCTTCACACAGTTTCAGTAAACGGAATTAGCGTATTTCATTACAAGAAAACTTCCTCTGATCAGTGAAGTAGGTACTAATGAATAAAACTGTAAACAATTAGATAAAGTAAGTTGCTGAAAATCTAAACTATTTATCTATTCCAACAGCCAGCGGGAACATGGCCAAAGGAAATATATTTGCTCTCTTCTATTTTCTCAAGGTTTAATCATGAAAATCTTCATTTAACTGCTTTTTATTCTCATCTGAAAAAAAAATAATTCTAATGTTTATATACAAAATAACATAAAAATAGCCATAAAAATTAGGAAAGAAATTGGATTAGTCCTACAATATATATAATGCCTTATAATTTCATAGTAATTAAGAGCATTGGCACAACAATAGGCTAACAAATAAATGAACATGTATAAGGTCCCAAAATAGAAACATTTAGAAAAATTTATTTTAGGTTTAAGGTGTCATTTTAAATGACTGAAAATTTATGAAGTTATTTAGGATTATTTAATGACAACACTAGAAAAACTAGCTGTTAATTTAGGGAAGTATACAAACACACACATAAAACATACAGGGTAAGTCTACTAAGTATATATTCTTATTGCTTTACTTGACAATAAATCCTAGTTTAATCAAGATGTGAGGCTGAAACACAAAAATAAAAGATACAAAAAACACTACATGTATTAAAAATATTACTAATATTGGAATAGGGATTGCCTTCATAGGCATAACAGAAAAACCAAAACCTTTAAAAATTAAATGAGTCCACATAAAAAGTTAGAATTTCTTACTAGCAAAAATTACATAAATAGTTTAAAGACTGAGAAATATATATAACATATGATTAGACAAAATATCTGGTTTAGGTATATACAAGGAAAGACTGCAAATCCGGAAGAAAAGTCTAAAAATTCAATAGAATAATAGGCAGTGAATAGGAAAAGGCAGCTTACTAAAAATAAAATCCGAACAGCCCTAGATATATTTTTTTAAATGGTCAACCTTATGCTAATTGAAAGCAAATTAAAACTTTTTTTTAACAATTGGGATGAACAAATATAAACACTAATAAATACATTCATTGTTGGTGAGAGTATGAAGATAGATACTATAATAACCTATGGATGGATATTTTAGAAATTTATTTTTGAAAAAGGTATGGTAACGCCTAGCATTACCATATGTGTGAATCACTTTCAACTGAACTTTTAGCAGTTTATGTTAACAATAAACTTTTAGCAATGTAATCTAGAAATATACTGGCATATAAAGATGCTTATTTTAATATTGGCAACTATACTGGAGAAAAACATAAATCTTCATTATAAGGCACTAGATTTAATTTTTTTTTTTTTTTTTTTGAGACAAAGTCTCACTCTGTTGTGCAGGCTGGAGTGCAGTGGCACCATCTCAGCTCACTGCAGCCTCCACCTCCTGGATTCAAGCGATTCTCCTGCAACAGCCTCCTGAGTAGCTGGGATTACAAGCAGGCACCACCACACCTGGTTAACTTTTGTATTTTTAATAGAGAGGAGTTTTGCCATGTTGGCCAGGCTGATTTCAAACACCTGCCTAGTCTCGAACTCCTGGCCTGAAGTGATCCGCCCACTTCAGCCTCCCAAAGTTCTGGGATTACAGGTGTGAAACACTGCACCCAGCCCAAATTTAAATGTTATATCCCTCCAATAGCATACTCTGAAGCCAGATCAAATACTGTACAATGACAAATAACAAAATCATGCAATATAATTATAAGTATAGAATGGGCCCAACTATGTACAAAATATATTAGAAAATACCAAAGGATGAAAATCATACTGCTAATGGTGGCTTTTTCCAGAAATGGAATTGAAGGCCAAAGAAGGGGGAATTATTTACTTTTACTTTGTACATTTCTGTAGTTACTTTTTGCAATGAGAATTTGTTACTATTATAATAAAAAATCATATAAAACACAAAAAACAGAGGTAGACAGAAGGCTTGGCAAAAATAATGCCTAGATTTAAATAGAACATAGCATTTATAATGTAGTACAGTGTAATGCTACAGAAACTGAAATTATGGAAGTTGGCCCAAAAAAAGCTTAGCCTAAGATGAAAAAAAAACCTGCCTTGTCAGCATTTAGCTCATGTACTCACCAGGCCAGAATGAAATAATAGCTTCTCATCTTTATCCAAAAGGGATTAGTCCTAGGGAAGAAAATTCCTTCTTTTTCATGAACTCTGTGAATGGCAGGTCTTATTAAAATATTCACCTAAATTTTGAAACTGGGAGTTCAATGTATGAATACTTTTAGAATGAATTGTTATGCTTTGTGATATACTTTAGTGATGATTGGTTCCACTGTCTTTCAAGGCTGCTGGGATATTATATGAAATAATATATGTGAAACTGTTGTCAAAGTGTCCTGTTAATTGTTATTGTTCAACTGTTGGCTTAAAGCACAAAAGCATCACCATAAGTAATAACCATGAGTTTTAAAATTGTAGCTATTAAATTAAAATAAGGAAATACTATTTTTGACCTATCAAATTGACAAAGCTTTAAAAAAAAGAAACTTGAGAAATGAAGTGTTGTGGAGGAGTAAAATTGTTTGTCTCTCTTGAAGCCAACGAGGAAATATATGTTGACATGTCTTAAAATAAGCAGATCCATTGAACCAGCATTTCCCTTTCTGATCACATATATCAAGGAAATAATATATACTTCATCACAGCATAATTATCAGATAGCAAATTGGAAATGATATAATAGCCAACAATAGGAGATTGGTTAATTATGGTGTTTCATGTAGTCATTAAAATAATTCTGCAGGAAATCAGAAATTCTACTTGAAATATTAAGTAATAATTTAAGCAATGCATCTACAGTGTGATTCCATTTTGTTAAGAAATGGGTTGCTATTTAGCATGATAAATAGTTTAATAGGAAAGCTTGAAAATTGTTAACAGTAAATTTAAATGGTAAGATCATGGATACAGTTTATCTTCTACATGATTCTCTTTTCCAAATTTAAATTTATTTTGCAATTGAAGAAAAATGTAAATGATAGTAAAGCCCTTAAGATTTTACTGTATGCTGGTTTTTAAAATTTTTTTAATTTTTATTTATTTATTTTTTTTTGCGAAATGACCAATGAGAGAAAGTCTATTTTCACTTGTCATGGAACAATGCGGTATGTTATGTTTTCGGGACTGCCTTCTTTAGTGCATTTCATAGTGCCTAGTAATATTGGGTACTGATTAAATACAATTTTCTGATTTCTGTTAATTTTGCGTAGCATTTTTTATAAAAAAGGGAGATATTTTTGATTAAATAAAACTTTATCGTGTTTCAAATTATTACACAAAGCTGAATAAGCAACCATTTATTTGAAACAGTGAGGTAATATAACATAGGCAACTATAGTTATATATTTTGTGTGTACTGAGTGTAATCTTGCCAGTTGGCTAAAAATACGTCACATGATGATTAAAAATAATCATGGCAGGTTGCTATTGGCTCCTAAATGATTCACAAAGCTCTTGTCCATGGCAGCGGAGGGAGGCAGTGTGCAAGGCAGTGGATGTAAATATAACTTTATTGAGTGCTTACTGCACTTTAGGTCAGGTAATTTACAAGTGCCATCTTCAGCTTCAAAAATAGTGCTTTTCCACTCCAGTTATGCACTGGAATCACCTCAGGGGTTCTTGTTTTACATTTTAATTACTTACATGACAAAAGCTCGAAATAAGTGTCTGACATAGAACCCTGCAATCAATATATATGTATATTTATTTATATATCATATCTATGTGTATATATCTATATGTATTTATATATATATATCTCATATATATATATTTCTTAAAGTTTCAAATAGTTCTGAACTACTGACCTAATATCCCTATGAGAAGCATTGCTATTCCTTTCTTAAACAGAAGTAATGTGTATGAGATGGCTAAAATAACTGGTCCATGTTCACAATGCCAGCAAAATGGGTCTAGTTGATTTCGTAACAAACACATGTGCATACACCATAAATAAAATGTTTATAATAATGACTATTTTACTCAATATTTCCTTTGTGACAGGATATAACATCTAAGTACAATAAGAATCCTGTAAATTCATTATATAATTTCAAAGATAAATGAAGTCAGTGAGGATAAGTATCTTGCCATTAGCTAAACAGCATAAAAACAGAAGAAAATTACAGGTTCCTCTTTGTTGACAGGTACTGCCTCTATCCGCAGCAAAATCATTTTATATGTGATCAGAGGTCTCAAATAAGCCTAAATAGCAACTCACAATGTGAGTGCTTGAAATCTGGTGACCTTGTCACCCACCTAGTTGCCTCAGTTGATATACATGGGAAAACCATTGCAGGACTTTGAAGAGGAGTAGTATATAGAGAGTCTAGAGAGATGGCGAAATAGAATAATACAGCCCCTGAACTCAAGATGACCCTTGTGAATAACAAGAGGGAAATAAAAGAAAGAAAGATTTGGATATTGGGCAAAAATTTTTGAAAAAAACTGATACTTGCTAGATTTTGAAGGAAAAACAAACTGTTTCTAAGACACAGGCACTCCCAGGAAAATATTCTTAAAGTAAGAAATGGTTTCAGAGGGCAAAAATAAAATCCAGGTTGAGGAGAAAAATCCTCTATTAAGCCTTATTGTAAGGTGTGCCTCTTAGGCAATATCTCTTAAATAATAAAGGTTATAAGAAATTTAAAGGCATCTTACCACAGCAACCTCAAATGGGAGAAGTACAGGATATTTTGTCTACAAGAATTATAATTTGATACACAGAAAGCCCACAATGGTTTTAAAGAAATTATATGAGCTCATACTGAAAGTGACAGAAACAGTACAAAATGAAAAGAGGCGTATGACACCTAAATGACTCCGTTCAGCAACTGACCTGTAAAAACTACTTATCTACAAATATAGGGTACATTTTATGACAAAGAAAAATGGCCTAGAAGCAGAAATCAAGAGCTCAAAGAGAAGGGCCATGAGATGCAAAAGATAATTCATAGGAAGCAGAATTGAACATTAATCTAGGAACTAAAATTGCTATGGACCAGTGCCTACTAAATGCTTCCAGTTTGCACTATAAAATGGGAGATTTTCCACATTTCTGCACAGAACACATTATGAATTCAATGTAGTGAAGACTGAAAGCAGCACAGTGCCTGGCTTGATATCTCATATGTTTTGCATAACTGAGTATTCAGGAAGAAGGAAACTTGAATAAGGCAGCATTCTCTCCAGACTCGAAACTGAAGCACCAGCAGGGAATGCCACACTTAGTAAATGATAAGTACAGCAAAGAAGCAAGATTGGAGAAGAGTAATCCAGAAGAATTGCTTCTGGGCACTTCTGAAAAAGTTTCTGGAGACCCTAGAAATATTGGGAGAGTGGGCTATATTTTGAAGGGGGCTGAGGCCTTTCCATCAGTAATTTTGGCATTAACATAGTAAAATTTGATAATACACACAAAAGTGACTATTGTAGTATATACAGGCTAGTGAAACAAGAGTTAATATAAATTACATGCGTTTTCAGATGTACTACATATACAGAATTTAGAGAATGATACTTCGTTTTTATTCTTTAGCATGTATTAGTGCAGGATGAGCCTGACAGGTCCAGAAAAAAAGAAAAAAAATCCATATAGGCCTGACCCTGATACCTTGCCCTATATCCTAAATAGCAAGAATCCAGTCATGAGGAAACTACACTAATCTATAAATTCTACATTTTTATTATGCATCTTATTTTTCAGTTATCTATCGGTATGTAACAAGCAACCACACTTAGCCACTTAAAAATACAAAAATTAGCCAGTTGTGGTGGTACACACCCGTAGTTCCAGCTACTCGGCAGCTGAGGTGAGAGAATTGCTTCAACCCTGGAGGCAGAGGTTGCAGTGAGCCGAGATCATACCATTGCACTCCAGCCTGGTCAACACAGTGAGACTCCATCTCAAAACAAAAACAAAAACAAACAAATGAAAAAACCAAAACCAAAACAAAACAAAATAAAAACAATAGCTACTGTGTTGTATCTCACAGTTGTGTGGGTTGCTTGGGCACAGAGGGGCAGTTATTTTTCTGGTCTCACTTGAAACATCTTATGTAGATATCATCAGATGGTGGGTGAGACCAAAGTCACAACCACAGGCATGACTGAGACACTGGGAGAGCTGGGCCTCATTCCTTACCCATGTAACACCAGAGCATCTCCTCTCCATATGGATCATTGACAATATCTCAGGGTTTCCGAAAAGCACAAAAGTGAAAGCCGCTGAGCCACCTTAAAGATCAATCCTAGCCGTGCAAAATGCCACGTCTGCGAAATTCCACTGATAAATCAAGTCACTTTATCAAAATCAAGGATGAATTCAGGAGACAGGTATCATTGGGAGTCGACACTTTGAAAATCAGCTACCACACTGCAGTAGCTGCTCTGTTTCAGACACTGAGATAGGCATACAAGACTAAGCACACTCCTGTGTACTAGGGACACCTGTAGTCTAGAGTGGCAGACAAATATTTATTTTTGAAAATCTACTGTAACAAGGCTGGGCGCGGTGGCTCATGCCTGTAATCCCAGCACTTTGGGAGGCCGAGGCGGGCAGATCACGAGGTCAGGAGATCGAGACCATCCTGGCTAACACGGTGAAACCCCGTCTCTACTACAAATACAAAAAATTAGCCAGGCGCGGTGGCATGCGCCTGTAATCCCAGCTACTTGGGAGGCTGAGGCAGGAGAATCACTTGAACCTGGGAGGCAGAGGTTGCAGTGAGCCGAGATAGTGCCACTGCACTCCAGCCTGGGCGACAGAGTGAGACTCCGTCTCAAAAAAAAAAAAAAAAAAAAAGAAAAGAAAGAAAAAAATCCACTCTAACAATTCTTCCAAGGAAGAAGTACTTTTTATATTAGTCAAGGAGTTCAGAGAAGCCTTCTTGGGGAAATGAAGCTAGACTTAGCCTGAAGGATAGATGAGAATAAGCTACATTAGACTAGGGAATGGGATAAGCACCCCAGCAGGAGGAAATCACACAAATGCAAGCCCTAGCAAACCACAGACTAGCAAAGCACAGTGCAGCTGATAAGTACACAGGGCTGCAAGCTGGAGAGGTGGATGAGAGCCTTGCTTTGTCTTCCTCTTAGAGCAATGGGAAGCCACTGAAAGCTTTCAAAATTAAGGGCCAGGGCAGGGTTGCATTTTGAAAAGACCTCTCTGATGCAGTGTGGAGAGTGGATTAGAAGGGGTGCATAGAGGACAATTTATTCCTCCTGAAGGATACTTTACAACTCTCCAGGATAGAAGTGAGTTTTTTCTATTTCCTATATCTTAGCATTGCTGGGTTCATGACAGACAGACCCTTACAGAAGTACTTTCATTTCTTTTCTAATCAGTTTTTTGGCTTCCATTTTCTTTTTTCTTACTCAGATAAAAGTGATTCTGGATTCAAAACAACTCACAGGAAAGGGTGATAGAAACCAACCAAATGAAGTAAAGTATATCTTAAAAGGCAGGCAAGACAAAGAGCCAACTGTCTCACCTTAAACTCTCAGTTCTCTCAGAGAATCTTCACTTCCACTATGAATCCTCTTGGAATTGCTACTAAGGCAAATAGTAATATGTTCTTTTTTCTTTCTTTTATTTTCTTGAAACTCAGGCCCTAAAGCATTCTTATCAATTTACCTATTCCAGCAAAACTATGTGATCCTTACAGTAGAGTGACAAAGACCTGGGTTCAAACCCTTGTTTGGTTGGGTAAAATTGCATACGTTCATGAACCTCTTCTAACTTCAATACTTTTATTTAATAACAAAATTAAGAGGTTAATAGTACATGTCCAAAGTGTTGCAATAAGTCAATAAGATGATGCATGCAAAGGGCTTAGCACAGTGCACTACACCCTAGTGGTAAAGTGATGTTGTTTGGAGCCAAATCATTCTTGGCTCAATTCCCAGCTCTATAATTTATTAGCTCTATGGCCTTGAGCAAGTTATTTGCTGTGTTGAAGCATTTTTTTTCTTATTTGTAAAATGCATATAAACATATCATTTTCTGGTGTTTTTATGAGGATTACTTGAAAAAAGCCATACAAAGTACTTAATAGAGTAACGGGCATGTAGTCAGTGACTGGCTATATGGTTATTGCTATCATTATCAGAATTATTGACACTCAATAAATTTAATTCGCTTCTTATTTTATCCTTTATTTTAATTATTTTATAAGGATTTTCCTTCCATCTATTGTCTTCTTTGCATAATTGCCATCAACCTCCCTTATATGTTGTTGTGTAGTTCTCTCTCTCCTCCCCACTTTCTTCTATCTCTTCTCTCAAAATGTAGACAACCAAAACAGGGAAATAATAAAAACCAATACAATCATCTAAAAGTTTGAGAAGTTAATTGTTGGCAAGAAGTTTGTTAGAACACAGAGAAAAAAGCCACAATTTCAAAAATTATCAAACCAATTTAATTCTTGACATGGGACTAGAGTTTTATAAACCTACCTATCTCATCTGTTCCCAGTGGACACTCAGAAAACTTGATACTAAACTAAAACATCCACACCATATCTTTCATAAATAGCCTGTGGAGTACCTGTCAACCAAGAAGTGAAAATGATTCAATTTTTATGGGGTAAGATCTTTGAATTTACTCTAGATTCAGATATTTCATATTCTCAAACAAAACGACTTTCATCTATATGTGCTACTTTGGTTTAGAGTCTAAGTTCCACAGTGAACAAAACTGTCTTGTAAAATTTAATTAACATGTAAAAATAAACCATGTATTTTTTCACCTTTTCCCTTATATCAGGAATAAAAGAGAAACTTAGCAATACTAAGCATATTCTTCTTTTATTACAAAAGAACAGTTGTTCTGATACACATTTGTCGAAAGGAAACCCTCAGAATTTTTAGTTTACTAATAGAATTGGTAGAAACTGTAAGAAAATGTTCAAAATATTTTAAGTGCACAGTCAGGAAAGAAAAACTTTCTTTTCTATATGTGAATAATTATATTGTCTAATCTTACTTAAAAACTTTTTAGCTCAGATTTTAAAATTACATGTTACATAATATTAACCTACTCATGATACACATTTTTATCCCATGGAGCAAGTTGATGTGATTGATCTCTGGAATATTATTTGACTTCATGAAGTAGACTTGTCCTCTATGCTTCTAAGAGTAGATTTCTAATTTTGTTCAGTTTTGTTGATATCTGTACTAGACTGTAAGACTTAGTAGGTTAAAACATAAAGTAAAATAACTCCAATTTTGTGTAATAACATTTTAAAATGCAGTAAAATTTCCAACAATTATTAAAAATCAGGTGTTTTTCCTGCTTAAATATTTTAGCCATGTTTGAGGTGAACCAGTTAGTCCTCATGAAGTACTGTGGCCAATAAAGGGGCTTTAATATGTATGATATATAAAGAATGTACTTTCATGATTAAGTATACTATTAAATTTATGTAGCTTTGTTCATGTGATTGATTAAAATCCCTTTTATTTTATGATAGTGCATATGAGAATAATCTTGTTAACTCAGACCCTATTCATTCAGAATGCGTGATAATTAAAAAGAGGTTTGAGATTATATCCTCAGTTACATGTGAAGAAATCTTTTGCTGAGCATGGGGTATGGGGGAAATATTTTTTTTCTTTTTAAATAATATTTGAGAAAGCAAATTATTCCTAATACTATAGTGGCATTACTTGCATTATGACATTAATTGATAATATTAAGTGCTGTTAACTTCCATTGGTATGACAAATGTTCTACATATTTTATTTATGTAATCCTATAATCTTATAAGGTAAAAATAATAAATTTCAGTTAAAAAATTTAAAAATTCTCACAGTTTTCACTAATTAAGACTAAGAGTTTATTAAAAGTCATTCTACAAAGTTTAGAAAGGCACTTTATTCCAGCTAGCTTTCAAGGCTCATTATTTTCCAACTCCACTACCAAGTCTCCTATGTATGAACAAGATTGCTAAACTAGTTAAATACAGAATTTTAAGCAGGATGATGAGTGCCTCTGCTTGGTGCTGTTAGATATTTTTAAATACCCTATGCATTTGATTGGTTTATGTCCACTCTCTGTCTCTCTTAAGTTCTAAAGAAGGAGATGGTAGCATAGAAAGAGTTTAAAGCAAACTAGGCACATGGCTAGGGAATATTTCCTTTTTACTTCTTTCTGGATAATTTTGTATGAAATCAACAAAGCACCATGCAAGAAGTGAAACAGAGGTATTCAGATAAGGACACAAGCATCTCTGAGAATCCAACCCAATTTTTCTTCTGCATAAAATTACCTCTAAAATGAACCTAAAAATAAATACCCAATGTAAAAATATGGTTGGAGTTGGCATAGGACCCTTTAGCCACATTTTAATTATTCCTTAGCTTTATATGAAAATGAATCTTGTTTCTAACTCAGAGGGGGATGTGTCAAAAGGTGTCAGTTAGGTTCTCTGCACTATTTATTGGAAGCCTACACTGCACAGAGCATTGTACAGAGCAGGGCATTGCCGCTTATATAGGCCAGAATGAAAGGCTGGTTAATCACTGCTTATCACTGACCAGTATGGAGCATGGTTATACAATGGTCAGTTCCTATTCATACTGGTTCTGGCTTGACTTTCTCTGATAAGCAAGATTAAAGTCTCAAATTTAATGAAATAATGTATTACCTCTGGACATTTCAGGATGCCTCTCTCAGAGGCACAATCTTGAGAGTCATGGACACATATAATTTACTGGCAGAAAATACAATATGCTAATGTGTATGTGAAATACGGAATAACATAATACTATAATTCCCATCTTACATAGATATATGTCAATGCCAAACACAGTGAAACAAAAAGAGGTTCAATCGATGACTTTTCCAGTGTCCTGTTTGGCAACATTACTCTGGAAGGCATTGATCCAGGAAAACAGACTGTCAAATAGGAAAGGAAAATGATGGTAATTTGGAATGTTTAGAAACACTGAGGCTAATTAAGAGGACAGCGGAAATTTCACAAGGCTAATTACACATCTGCAAAGGCAGAGGTTGATAAGTTTCTCTCCAGCCTTCTCTGTAACTGGATGCTTCAAGAATAACACCCCCTTTTTAGAAGATCCAATCAGACCACACTGACAGGACTGTGAGAACCCACCCATCTCTATACATGTGTTCTGTCTTTAAGAGAAGCCTTATGGTGGTTTAGGCACTGGAATCAACATCGTGAAAATGGCCATACTGCCCAAAGTAATTTATAGATTCAATGCTATCCCCATCAAGCTACCATTGACTTTCTTCACAGAATTGGGGGGAAAAAAAAAAAACTACTTTAAACTTCATATGGTACCAAAAAAGAGCCCGCAGAGCCCAGACAATCATAAACAAAAAGAACAAAGCTGGAGGCATCACACTACCTGACTTCAAACTATACTACAAGTCTACAATAACCAAAACAGCATGGTACTGGTACCAAAACAGATATATAGACCAATAGAACAGAACAGAGGCCTCAGAAGTAAAACCACACATCTACAATCATCTGATCTTTGACAAACCTGACAAAATAAGCAATGGGGAAAGGAGTCCCTATTTCATAAATGGTGCTGGGAAAACTGGCTAGCCATAAGCAGAAAAGTAAAACTGGACCCCTTCCTTACACCTTATACAAAAATTAACTCAAGGTGGATTAAAGACTTAAATGTAAGACCTTAAACCATAAAAATCCTAGAAGAAAACCTAGGCAATGCCATTCAGGACATAGGCATAGGCAACAACTTCATGACAAAAACACCAAAAGCAATGGCAACAAAAGCCAAAATTGACAAATGGGATCTAATTAAACTAAAGAGCTTCTGCATAGCAAAAGAAACTATCATCAGAGTGAACAGGCAACCTACAGAATGGGAGAACATTTTTGCAATCTATCCAATTGACAAAAGGCTAATACCCAGAATCTACAAAGAAGTTAAACAAATTTACAAGAAAAAAACAACCCCATCAAAAAGTGGACAAAGGATATGAACACACACTTTTCAAAAGAAGCCATTTATGCAGCCAACAAACATGAACAAAAGCTCATCAGTAGTCATTAGAGAAATGCAAATCAAAACCACAATGAGATACCATCTCACAGCAGTTAGAATGGCAATCATTAAAATGTCAGGAAACAACAGATAATGGAGACGATATGGAGAAATAGGAACACTTACACTGTTGGTGGGAGTGTAAATTAGTTCAACCATTGTGGAAGACAGTGTGGCGATTCCTCAAGGATCTAGAACTAGAAATATCATTTGACCCAGCGATCTCATTACTGGGTATATACCCAAAGGATTATAAATCATTCTGCTATAAAGACACATGCACACATATTGCGGCACTATTCACAATAGCAAAGACTTGGAGCCAACCCAAATGTCCATCAGTGATTGACTGGATAAAGAAAATGTGGCACATATACACCATGGAATACTATGCAGCCACAAAAAAGGATGAGGTAATGTCCTTTGCAGGGACATGAAGCTGGAAACCATCCTTCAAAGCAAACTAATACAAGAACAGAAAAGCAAACAATGCATATTCTCACTCATAAGTGGGAGTTGAACAATGAGAACACATGGACACAGGGAGGGGAACATCACACACCAGGGCCTGTTGGGGAGTGGGGAGCTAGGGGAGGGATAGCATTAGGAGAAATATCTAATGTAGGTGATGGGTTGATGGGTGCAGCAAACCACCATGGCATGTGTATACATATGTAACAAAACTCGACGTTCTGCACATGTACCCCAGAACTTAAAGTATAATAAAAAAATCAAATAGTTTTTTAAAAAAGAGAGAAGTCTTATGAAGTAGAAATCCTGGCTATGAAATCAGACTTATGGGAGATTAAATATTAGATAATGTTTTCATTAACATATGACCCCCAGATATTAAAATGTAATGTTTCATTACAATGAAAGTATAAGTTTAAATAAACTTTACCAAAGACACAATGATTTCTTCTTAGGTGCCTTCTTTCCTTCAGCCTTACTAACCAACCTCTTCTAGCTTCAAACTTTTCTTCTGCTGCTTCCTCCTCACCTCTCTTAGCCATATAAACTAGAAGCGAATTAGTACCTTGCTCTGAATTAGGCTTTGTCTTAACGGAATGTTGTGGCTGATTTTATCTTCTATTTAGATGACTAACTGTCTTCATATTAGCAATAGGCTGTTTTGCTTTTGGTGGATATGTGCAATGTCAATGGAAAACTTTCTGGAAAGGATTCACCATTCTAGGGGCCATTAAGAACATTCGTGATTCATGGGAAGAGGTAATAGTATCAACATTAACAGGAGTTTGGAAGATGTTGATTCCAATCCTTATAGATTACTTCGAAAACATAAAAGGGCAAAGCGAAGCAGCAAGGCCTGATGGAGAAGCTGCAGCAATTTATCCTGAAGATCTTGCTAAGGTCATGGATGAAGGTGACTACACTAAATGCCAGAATATCCATGTAGACAAAACAGCATTCTATTGGCAGGAAATGCCATCTAGGACTTTCATGATACAGAGAACTCAAGATCTGGCTTCAAAGCTGTGAAGGACAGGCTGACTCTCTTGTTAGAGACTGATGCACTGGCAACTAAGTCGAAGCCAATGCTAATTTACCACTCTAAAAATCCTAGGGCTCTTAAAAATTATGCTAAATCTACTCTTCCCATGTTCTGCAACTGGAACAACAAAACCCATCTGAAATATCACTACTCATTGACAACGCATTTAGTTACCCAAGAGCGCATGTTATCATCCATGTACTCACTGGAGTAGCACTTTTAATTCTCTTCAATAACTTTTTCTTTGTGTTCAAAACCTGGTAAACTCTTTGGTGCAGGAGGCCTAACATTTGGCCTATCTCAGTTTTTAACATGCTTTCTTCACTAAGTTTAATCATTTCCAGCTTTGGATTTAAAGTGAGAGATGTGTAACTCTTCTTTTCACTTGAATACTTACTGATTATTGAAGGGTTATTAATTAGCCTAATTTAAATATTATTCTATTTCAGAAAATAGTGGGGCCTGAGGAAGAGGAAAAGATTGGGGAACAACTGTTTGGTGGGGCAATTAGAACACACACAACATTTATTGATTAAATTGGCTATTTATATGGGTTTGTGGTACCCCCAAAATTATAATAGTAATATCTAAGATCAGTACTCTAAGAGCACCATAACAGATATAATGAAAAATTGAGAATTACTGAAATGTGACACAAAGAAGTGAAGTGAACATACACTGTTGGAAAGTGGCATTGATAGACTTATTGGACACAGGATTACCACAAACCTCCAATTCATTAAAAACACAGTATCTTTGATGTGCAATAAAGCAAAGTGCAATAAAATGAGGTATGCCTGTATTTTATAGCAGAAGTAGATACTTTCTTTTATGATTGCCTGATTTTCTTGTACATCCAGTGTATATTGATGGTATATACTCAACCCAGGGATATAGGTTATTAATATTTTCATAATATTCATTTCTATTAGTATCATTTCCTTTTTAAAAACAAAAGAACTCAAGCCAAATCCATTGCTTAAAAAAAAAGCACAAATGCATATGCAGGAATGAGACAACAAACATTAATAAAGCAACAAAAGCAACCATTTGTGAAATGTAGGAGAAATTATTTTTACCCCATTTGGAGTATAATGAAACTTTGGTTCACTATGGAGCTAATGGGGAAATCAATGTCCAAAACTAATCATGCTAGCTCTGATAAAAAAGCAGTCTAAAAGGAAAAATTGACAAAATATCTGCATAGCTTGCACTTCAGGTATAATTTAATTTCAAAAGATGGGTCCATGAGACATGAAGCATTGTAATGTAATAGTGAAGATAATAAGTCATTAAATAATTCTTAATGAATAGTGAGTAATAAGAAAGAGTCAGCTTGGAGGCTGGATTTATAGCAATCAGCTTTTTTTGAATATTATAGTGCTATGGATAGTTGCTATTTATGCTCATTCACTCACTTATTCGTTACATTCATTTCATTTATTTGTCCATTCATTCAAATATGTATTGAATTCATATTACGTGACAAACAATGAGAAATGCACAGAGACAATGACATATGGTCATTAGCCTCAGAAAATGTACAGTATAAGAAAAATAGGCCAGGCGCGGTGGCTCATGCCTGTAATCCCAGCACTTTGGGAGGCAAAGGTGGGTGGATCATGAGGTCAAGAGATCAAGACCATCCTGGCCAACATGGTAAAACTCCGTCTCTACTAAAAATACAGAAATTAGCTGGGCATTGTGGTGTGCGCCTGTAGTCCCAGCTACTTGGGAGGTTGAGGCAGGAGAATCGCTTGAACCTGGGAGCTGGAAATTGCAGGGAGCTGAGATCGTGCCACTGTACTCCAGCCTGGTGACAGAGCGAGACACCGTCTCAAAAAAATAAAATAAAATAAAAAAATAGAAAAGAAAAATAAAATAAGTAAACACTGACATGAATGAGACATTTCCCATTATGGTAAACATTTGCAGGAAGTTTAGGTTGGAACAGACAAAAAAGATTCTTCTAAAAAGATGTATTAACACCAATTCCTGAGTGAGACAAAAGAGCAAGAGTTTCCCTCTCTGTCGCCCAGGCTGGAGTGCGATGGCACAATCTCGGCCCACTGCAACCTCTGCCTCCTGGGTTCAAGCCATTCTCCTGCCTCAGCCTCCCAAGTAGCTTGGGATTAAAAGCACATGCCACCATGCCTAGCTAATTTATATACATATATTTTTAGTAGAGACGAGGTCTTGCCATGTTGGCCAGCCTGGTCTTGAACTTTTGACCTCAGGCGATCCACCCACCTCCACCTCCCAAAGTGCTGGAATTATAGGCGTGAGCCCTGGCGCCTGGCCAGAAGATGAAAAAGTTCTGCAGATGGATGGTGGTTAATATGGTTTGGCTGTGTCCCCACCCAAATCTCATCTTGAATTGTACTCCCATAATTCCCAAGTGTTGTGTGAGGGACCCAGTGGGAGATAACTTAAATCGTGGGGGCAGTTTCCCCCATACGGTTCCTGTGGTAGTTAATAAGTCTCATGAGATCTGATGGTTTTACCACTTTCCACATTGATGGCAGCCACTAGCCACATGAGGATACTAAGCAACTGAAATGTGGCTAAGATAACTGAAGAAGTAATATTTAAATTTTATTTAATTTCAACTGAATTACATTTGAACTTTTTCATGTACCCTAACTGAAACTCTGAACTCATTAAAAACTAACTCCCCATTTCCCCTACTAAGTCTCTGGCTACCACCATTCTGTTTTCTGTCTTCACATATTTGACTACTCTAGGTACTTCCAATAAAAGGAATAATGTAATGATTTCCTTGTGTTACTGGCTTATTTCACTTAGCATAATGTCTTCAAGTTCCATCATGTTACGGCATAGGTCCAAATATCTTTTCTCTTAAAAGTTGAATAATATTCCAGTGTATGTATGTATATTTTACATTTTGTTTATGCAGTCATCTATGGAACGTTTAGGTTAATTCCACCTTTTGGCTATTGTGAATGCTATGAACATGAGGGCACAAATATCTCTTCAAAAGCCTGCTTTCAATTATTTTCGTTGCATACTTAACAGAGTAATTGTTGGATTATATGATAATGCTACTTTTAATTTTATGAGAAATCACCATATTGTTTTAACAGTAGATAAACTATTTTGAATTCTTACTACCAAGGTAGAAGGTTTCAAATTTCTCGACATCCTCACATTTATTTTCTTTGATAATAACCATTTTAATAGATGTGAAGTAGTATCTCATTGTGGATTTGATTTGCATTTTATTAATGCCTAGTGGTGTTGAGCATTTTTTTGTATACTTATTGGTAATGTATATATTTTCTTTGCATAAATGTCTACTCAAGTCCTTTCTCATTTTTAAAATCAGGTTTTTGTGTTTTTGTTTTTGTTGTTTTAATTCTTAAATATTGAATATCAATCTCTTATAAGATATATTATTTGCAAATATTTTTTACCATCCTGCAGTCTTACTGATTTCTATAGTTCTTAATGTATGTTAATCGTTATGCCATAGGTTATATACATAAATATTATATATAAATGAAAATTTCTAAATATTATGTAAAATATAGATTTATATATAATATGTAATCTATTATATATAATAGAGTATTCTATTATATAGAAAGAATATTATTTGCTAATACTTGGGTTTCCATAAGGAGAGGTAAACTTCACTCTCCAATGGGAAAAGTGCTAACATGACATCTGGGACTCTTCTTTCTTGTCTTTCAATTCTCCCTTTGGAAAGAGAACTAATTTTTCTGACTAATGAGACAGTGAGGATCTAACATCCATTACTTGTTTGGTTGGAATTATTTAAAAACCACATACACATGTGTCTTCATTCTGTTCCTGCATTCAGTCTCTCTCAGACTTTAGGAATCAAAATCCCTGATAGTCATGTTTTCCCTTCAGGTGACTCTAGATTTTGGGGGATGTAGTAATAAGCTTCATTTTTCTTCGCAAATAAAACAATACTCTCCAATCTAACTTTAATGGCAATAAAGTTGATATTTTGATCCCAATCTAATGTGTCTGTTTCTTGCTAACTCAGAATCCGGATGGGAAAGAGAGATGATTAATTACCACTCTCAAAAGTCCAAACAAGTAACACTGAAGTAAGGGTTTTTCCTATATTTGCCCATTATGTTAGTCTCACTGCTGCTGATGCTACCTTCCGTAAATCTTTATTAATTCAGTATCAATGTCACATGCTTTGAGGGGATTAAGCAAATCATTTCTGTCATTTCAAATGTTCAAGTAAAGTCTGGATGATTTTATTTCATGTCCTCTCTGGGAAAAGAAATACCACAGTAGATGAAGAGCTAGAAAAGATGGTGATGAAGTTACTTTTCTACACAAATTTATTGTATTCTATTAAATTACCATTATTATCCAAGAGTTCAGAAATTCTCTGGCTTTCATATTGAACACATATATGTCCTCTATTAAAATAAACTTTAGTATAAAATTGCTAAATAATTGTTATTTAGTATATAAAAAATGTTTGGAAAATTAAAGCAGCAGCCATAAATTCAGAAAAATTTATTATTAATCAAGACTGCAATGACATTTTATATTCTTAAAAAAAGGTGGTGAGGAAAGCTTCTGAAATGGATAGAGGCTGAGGATTGTATTATGTTTGGCTCATTTCTGTATCTTCATAACCTCATACAGCATCTGGACCAAAACTGAAGCTCATTCAATTTGTTTGTTCATTCAAAATGTCTTTATTTGCACCTTACTATGAGCCAAGGGCTTTGCTAGGCCTTTAAGACAGTAGGGTAAAAAGAAACAGATATGGTCCTACCCTTTTGGAGCTCGCATAGGCATACATCAAATAATTGCAAAGACAATCATAAACTTCACTGTGATAAATAGTACAAGGAACGATTAGTTACTACTATGGTAGATTAAATAGAGAGATGTTATCTAAGTAGGTAGATCAAGGAAGGCATCCCTCAGGATATATAATTTAGCTTAGATATAAAGAATGGGTAGTGATTAGCTGTGTGAGAGGCAAAGGCAAGAATACAGCATAGCAAGAAGAAGAATAGTAAGAAAACAAGGGCTCATGGAAAGGGATAAATGAGGGAATGAAAGAGATCAGCATATGTGGAACAGAGAGAGAAATAAGGCTTAAGAAAGGGGCTGGGCCGGGCGCCGTGGCTCACACCTGTAATCCCAGCACTTTGGGAGGTCGAGGCAGGTGGATCATGAGGTCAGGAGATCGAGACCATCCTGGCTAACACAGTGAAACTCCATCTCTACTAAAAATGAAAAAAATTAGTCAGGTGTGGTGCCACACGCCTGTAGTCCCAGCTATTCGGGAGGCTGAGGCAGGAGAATCGCTTGAACCCAGGAGGCAGAGGTTGCAGTGAGCCAAGATTGCACCACTGCACTCCAGCCTGGGTGACAGAGAGAGACTTTGTCTCAAAGAAAAAAGAAATGGCAGGGGGTGGCTGGAGGGCAACCCCACAATTTACATTACTAAAAATATAGCAAGAAAAACTAATACCTAGAAAAGCATCTAATGGAAAAGGAAAAAAGAAAAAAATCTCTATTCTCCAAACTGAAAACCATGATTGAAATAAACCTAAATAAATGGAGGAATTACTTTATTTATGCACTGGAGAATTCAGTATGCTAGGAAATAATTTCTCTTTAAAACATTTTATGCAGTCAATAAAAATCCAAACAAAACTTCAGCAACTTTTTTTTTTTGAGATTGGGAAGCTGATTTTAAAAGGCCAATGAAAATGCACATACCAAGCCAACAATAAAGAAAACAAAACTGTAGGAAATATACTCCCAGATATCGAGATTGATTTTAAAGCTGTAGTAACTAAGACAAGGTGGTATTGGTCGAAGTGTAGACTGATAGACCAGTGGAACAGACAGTGGGACTAGAACAGATTCACACATATGTTATCACTTTATTCATAACAAAAAGGGATATTTCAGTACTTCAGGGAAAGGCTTGGTCTTTTAATAAACACTACTAGGTCAATAGGACATCCATATGAAAGAAAACATTCCTTGAACCTTAATACATGCCTCTAATTAAAAAAAAAAGTACTAGGTGTAGTTTTAACCTAATCGTGAATTACATAAAAATAAAGATTTTACAAGAAAACAAAAGATTATCTTATTTATTTTGGCTAGACAAAAGTAATTATTAAATAGGACACAGAAAATGCCAAGCATAAAAACGTGATAAATCAGACTACATTAAAAATAACTTTTGTTAATGAAAGTTACCATTAAAGGAGCAAAGGGGAAGAGCAAGGATTGAAAAAGGATATTTAAAATACATATTTTAACAAATATACTCACAACCAGCATACATTAAAAAACCCTGAAATTCATATGAAATTGCCAAAATCACCATAGATAAAATGAATAAAATACTTGGACAGCTACTACATAAAAGAGAATATCTAAATGGCCAATAAACAAATGAAAGACACTCAACTCCATTAGTCACCAGGGAAATACAAATTGAAACTCAATGTGTTATTACTGCAGAGCCACTGTTAAAAAGAACAGAAAATACCAAATATTGGGGGTACTGAAACTCTGAAACAATGCTATTGGGAGCATAAGTTGGCATAAGTAATTTGGAAAGTATCAGAAATATCTACTAAAATAGAATATATGCATATACTGTATCTAGGTATAAGCCCTATTAGATGGCATAGGTATGGTCACCAAAAGACATGTATAAGAATGCTCATAGAGTTATTTGTAATAACTAAAAACTGCAAACAACCCAAATTTTCATCAACAGTAAAGAGCATTTTAAAAATGTGGTGTATTCATATAATGAATACAGTAACTGAATAAATGGCGATTGCTGTATACAACAATGCTTGTTGGTGCAAGAATAAACAGGTAGATGAATAGAACAGAAGAGTGAATACAGGAATAAATCTACTCATACATAGCCACTGATGTCTCAATGAGCTGAGGACAATAGAATTTTTAACAAAAGAAGCTAGACATATAAAATTATATGCTTTATGTTCTCATTTATACAAAGTTGATAAACAGGCAAAATTAATTTATCCTGATAGAGATCAATACAGTCATCACCCTGCAATGGGGGTGAGGGGATATTGACAAAAGTAGACAGATAGGACATTTCTAAGTATATGAAATGTTGTGTTTATTCAATCTGGGAGCACGGACAAAGAGTATACTAACTTCATAAAAATTCATCAAGCTATTCACCTATGTTTGTGCACTTGTCTGCAATATACTTTACGTGCTTATTAAAAATTAAAGATATAGATTGAAAATGAAAGAGGAGGTAGACAAAACAGTGCCTTAAAATGGTGATAAAAATGATGATTTATTTCCTTTGCAAAATAATAGAGGAAACAGTTGAATGGTTTTAATCAATATTGTTGATATGATCAGATGGCACTGATGTAAGAAAGTGAAAAAAATGGGCAAAATAAGGATATTTGGTAAATTAAATTGGTAAGATTTGCTGAGGGATTTGCTATAGGAGGAGGCAAGTTGGGGAGGTGTCATGACCCTCAGTCTTAGATTTGCACAATAGGATGGATGGCAGTATCACACTCTTTAAATTAAAATCCTGAGTCCCAAGTTTCCAAGGAAGGAAATTATGAATTTGTCTTTGGAAAAGCTAAAGTGCCATTGAACTATCTAAATAGATAATGAGTAGATAGTTTAATATAGAGGTCTACAGCACAAAGAGAAGTTACAGTTAGAAGATAATTTTTTTTTTTGGCAGAGTGTCACTCTTGTTACCCAGGCTGGAGTGCAATGGCACGATCTCGGCTCACCACAACCTCCACCTCCCGGGTTCAAGCAATTCTCCTGCCTCAGCCTCCCAAGTAGCTGGGATTACAGGCATGCACCATGATGCCTGGCTAATTTTGCACTTAGTAGAGGTGGGGTTTCTCCATGTTGGTTAGGCTGGTCTCGAACTCCTGACCTCAAGTGATCCGCCTGCCCTGGCCTCCCAAAGTGCTGAGATTAAAGGCATAAGCCACTGCACCCTGCCAGAAATTAAATTTATCTGTCTATGGATATAAGTGAAGTTTCATGGGAAGAATATAAATAACATGAAAAATTTTAAAAAACTGATTTCTTGGATATAACACCGAAAGCAAAGCAAAAAAGCAAAAATAGGCAAATGGAACTCTATCAAACTAAAAAGCTCTGCACAGTAAAGGAAACAATCCACAGAACAAAAAGGAAATCTATGGAATGAGGAAATATTTGCAAACTATATATTGATAAGCAGTTAACATCTAAAATATATTATGAATTCCTATAACTCGATAGCAAAACAACAACAAATAGCCTGATTTAAGAATGAGATATAAATGGCCAATAAGTATTATAAAAAGATTCTCAACATCACTAATCATTAGCAAAATGAAAGTAAAAGCTGCAATGAGATATTAGCTCACAGCTATTACGATGTCTTTTATAAAAAAAAAAAGAAGTGTAGGCAAGGATGTTAAAGAACTGGAACCCTTGTACATTGTCGGTGGGAATGTAAAATAATGCAGCCGCTGTGGAAAACAGTATGAAGTTTCCTTAAAAATTAGAAATAGAACTACCATATGATACAGCAATCTTAATTCTGAGTATATACCCAAATGAACTGAAATAAGAATCTCAAAAAAGATATCTGTACTCCCAACTTCACTGCAGAACTAGTCACAATAGCCAACTTAAGGGAAAAATCCAAACAAATATGGACAGATGAATAAAGAAAATGTGATATATACAAACAATGGAATATTATTCAACCTTTCTAAGGAAGGAAATCCTGCCATTTGGAACAGCATGGATGAACCTGATGGACACTATGCTAGGTAAAATAAGCCAATCACAGAAGGACAAATACTGAATGATTCCACTTATATGAGGTTTCTAAAATAGTCAAACTCATAGAAGCAGAGAACAGAATATAGGTTACCAGTGTCAGGGGAGAGGGAGAGGGGAGAGTTGCTGTTCAATTGGTATAAGGTTTCAGTTACATAAAATAAATATGTTTTAGAGACCTGCTCTGCAGTATCATGTTGATAGTCAACTGTTTTACACTGTTGACTGTCAGCACTATAGTGTGTTATACACTTAGAAATTTATTATGAGGGTAGATATCAAGTTAAGTTCTTACTAAAAACAAAAAGGGATACAAGGAAGCTTTTGGAGCTGATGTATATTTCTATTAACTTGACTGTGATGACTGTTACAGGTATATGCATACGTCCAAACTCATCAAGTTGTATAAATTAAATAAGTGAAGTTGATTGTATATTATATTCTATATTTATGTTAAATAAATCTTTTTTTAAAAAAAAGAAATTGAAAGGACTTAAGACTGAGCCTTGAGAAATTTCAACAGTGAATGACAGGGTAGAGTATGATGAGCAAGTAAATAAGACAGAGATAATAGCGGTCAGACAAGTGGAATATAAACTAGGAGACAGATGGATCATAGAAGGTAAGAGAAATAGTTGTTTTAAAAGAAAGGGAAATGCCAGTAGTATTGACTGCTGCCCAGAGGTCAAGTAAGTGGGAATTAAAATTGTACATTTATTCAGCAGAATGAATAATTGTTGAATAAGTAGATCAATGAAATAAAGTTGAGTTTTCTGTGCAGTTAAAAGTGTAAACAAAAACCATTAGTTTGAAAAACACTGCATTGAACTTATTGAAAGTAACACATCATTCACAGAATGGAAAATGGATTCAATCATGAATTTCTTCATACCTTATCTTTCTAGTAACTCTATGTTGATCATCTTCAGAAACCTCATTAAAGAAAAAGATTCTAGCTTGACATTGGAGAACTTGATCTTGTAGATGTCTGCTTACTATCCTGCTTTAGTTGCTTTACCAACACAGCACATGTAAACCTATGTAACAAACCTGCGTGTTGTGCTCATGTACCCCAGAAATTAAAGTATAATTTTAAAAAATAAGGCTCATTAATCAAAACACAGTGCAACTTTTTGTTTAAACCAAAGACACTTAAAGTGTGCTTTCTGACATGCTGAAACTACTGGTTTTTGGGAGAGCAATTCAAGACTGTGGAATTTTAGCTAAATATTTGAGAGTAGGCATATTAAAAAACAAATGCCCAGAATTCAAGTTATTCTTAAAAACATTTTCTCTGGTGAATCATTTCTGACTTCGCTAGAACTCTAAAATTATGATTTTAATAAAATATAATTTAAATATAATATCCAATTAAGCAGGATGTTTAATCATTCAGAAATATTGGCCCAAATTTTTACCTCTGATACATAATCTTATAATGTGAAAAAGTAAACATGAATTTATAGGATGTCGCAGAATTTAAGGATAGTTTTACAGTCAGGAAGATGAGATTTTGGGTCCTAAAACTCTCCCTTTACATACTAGCTACATGCAAAGCCCAGGTTCTCTTATCAGAAAAAAAATGGGGTTATCAGTTGGCTGTATCTCACAAGGCTAAAAGGAGTTAATGAGATCCTGTGTGCAAAGCACTTAGCACAGAGCCTATGCTCAGAGGACCCTCAGTAACTATAGACATTATTATTGTTCTCAACTAGGAATAAACTTCAACAATGCCAAGTAGCAACTCATGGATTTGCTTATGCATTCAAAACCTATTTATGAAGGAAAGACAAACCATCAGACTGTGATAGATGCTGTGGAAGACACAGCCATGAATGAGATAAGGCCCCGTCACAAATAATTACTATCATACAAAGTAAGAACTGGTATATGCCAAAAGAAAAGGAAGAAATAGGGAAATTTACCTGTGACTGCTGAAAGCTTGGAGAAAGTTTCATTATGGGGGTAAATGTATTACAGTCACAAGTACAGGCTAAGTGGAGGGAGGGGCTCTGTTTAACTCCCGATTCTACTGTTTTTTAGTGACCCTGTCATGGAACTTTCAGTAATTCGGTATTGTTATTCCTAAAATGGAGTTTCTTAATAATATCTAGTGGATAAATGAAGTAGAGTATTGAAAGCATTCAAAACAACTATTGGCACATAGTAAATCATCAGTAAATGTCAGTGGGTGACTTTAATGTGTGTATATTCAGCCCAACAGCCAGCTACCCTTCTTTCATGTGCTACTTGCCCTTTCTCTTTTAGACAAGCTCTAGGTTCACAGCAAAATTGAGAGGAAAGTATGGAAATTTTCCATATATACCCTACCCCCACGCTTGTATAGCTTCCCCATTATCAACATTGGGTAGGCTATTTGTAGCCAAAGTAATGCAGAATGATCCTGCCCATTTCACCTCCTTCATCCTGACTGACCTAATCCTAGTCAGACGAAGTAGAACTGAGATACCAGGGATTTGAAATTGTGACGTCAAGAGAGTCGAATTCACCTCTAAGTACAAAGGGACTGTGATATGTAAACCTCAGAGTGGTAGGCAGCATAATCTGTCAATTGAATTAAGTTGCAGAGAAGGAACAGATAGAAGAAAAAAAAGAATTAAGCAGATATAAAGTGAGAAGCAGTGGTGGAAAACAGAAAATCTCAACAATTATTTAGAACTTGGTTTCAGTTCTTTTCTCAGGCCAGCTTCACTCTTTCAATTCAGTAAATATCACTTTTTGCCTAAGAGAATATGAATTGATTTCTATTATTGGCAATCAGTAAGCCAACTAAATCAAGATTGCGTTTGAACTCTGTTTTGGAGAATAGGTATTATTGAGATGAAACAATGAGAGAGGAGGAGGCTTTGTCAGCTGAATCATCTTGATCAAAGAGACTCATTATATAAAATTTATGTTTGTTTGGTGTAATGCCATGGTAAAGGAAAGAAGACAGTAAGAAAAACAAAATATAAAGATAGTTTGGGCTGAGATCATGAAAGGTCTGGAATAACATGGTTAAGCTTTTGATTTTATAAGAAAGGATTTTGATATAGGAATGACGTAACTGTGCTTGGGATTTTTCATAATTATAATTATGATTAATATTTATAGAGCATCTAGTATGACCATGCATCTTGCTAGCCTTTTTATATGCATTTTCTTACTAAATTCTGCAACAATCTCATAAACTAGAAACCATTGCACTCGTAGTTTCTAGATAAATAACCTGAAGCTTGGAGAAGTTTTGGAATTTGCCAGAGGTCACAAAGCTGGTATGTATTGTAGCTAGTAACCTCAACCAAGCTCTGCTGACTAATCCTAAATTCTTCATCAGTACGCTACATTTTTCATAATATGTTACACAGATTTACAAAATTCATAACCTCTATACTGGCCAGACAAGTAATAAAAGTGAGTAAAATGGATCACATGGAACAGCGGTGATTGTGGTACACTCTGGCTAAATTCAGAGTGCATTCAACTTCTAAGGGCATTCAAATAATAATAATTATTATTATTGTAAATTCAATCTATAGACCATATATTGCCCTTGGATTAAGGTTGATTATATTAGAATATAGCCTATGGGTAGGAAGATCAATCATATGATAATTACAGGTGAAGAGAAATGAGAAAATGCAATCTGTGGCCAGGATGGAAATTGTGGGAAATGAGAAGGAGGACCACAATTCAGAGACACAGGGATATCTAGTGTCATGTAAGGGGTATAAGATGAAAAACAGTAGTAGTCTTTATTGTAAAAATATCAATGTTTTGTGACTAAAGTGTTAGTAGATTAAGAAAAACAACATAGAAGTGGGGGAGGAGTTGAGTATAGATGGTAAGAATAAGCATGGGACCATTCAATCTAAAATATCAGCTGGTGTATTAATCCATTCTCTCACTGTTATAAAGAAATACCTGAGACTGGGTAATTTACAAAGGAAAGAGGTTTAACTGACTCACAGTTTCGCATGGCTGGAGAGGCCTCAAGAAACTTACAATCAAGGCACAAGGAAAAGCAAGGCACCTTCTTCACAAGGTAGCAGGAGGAAAACTAAATGCAGGAGGAACTACCAAACACTTATAAAACCATCAGATCTTGTGGGAACTCACTCACTATCACGAGAACAGCAAACCAACCCCCTGATTCAATTGCCTCCACCTGGTCTCTCCCTTGACATGTGGGGATTATGGAGATTATGGGAATTACAATTCAAGATGAGATTTTGGGTGGGGACATAGCAAAATCACATCAGCTGGTATCATTTTGGAGCTATTTTTCAATATGTGAAAATGGAGACTGAAATAGTGGTTTGCATTTAAACTGTAACTATTAAATTGATTAACAAATAAAAATATTTGTTTTAGAATAATTATAACATTCTCTAGATCAGAAAATCCTAGCTTGGCTTACATACCCAGTAGGGATAACTTATGTTCCCTGAATTTGGGGACTGGAGAACTTCATTTATAAACTACCAGAAGCTTCCAACTAATTCATGTGGGTCTTTTGGCAGCAACGCCAATACGTCATGATTATTTGCCTCAGGGTCTCTTTTTGCCTTTGATTTTCCTCATCTGGTCTCTGATTGAGTGTGGGGGAGAATTGACCTCAAAGGTTTAACTCATTGTCACCCTCCCGGAGCATTGTAGGTTTCTTTGTTTTCTTACTCTCTGTGCTGCCCTCCAGCCTTTGCTTCAGGAGGCAGATTTATTCAGGTTTTATAGCTGTTGCTTTTTTTCTCCACACACGGTCATAAGGCTCACCCTCTATTTCCAGAGAGGCATAGTCAGAGAAGCTATCTCAACGTCAATCACATGTGATTATTTGGGACACAGGACAGGATACTCTAACCATAATCACAGAACCTAGCCTTTTGATAGGTTCCTGATTGGAAGAAGCATAAGTTGAGGAACCAGTAGACTTAAGTGAATCCTGGTGTTTCCTCTTTAGCCATGTGTCCAAGGACTCAAGGCTCCACTTTGAGACTCTCCTCCTTCAACTGCAAAATGAGGATAATACCTGCCTCCAAAGTTTATTATGAGCATCAAGTAAGTGTGTGCATATAGACATTGCCCAGCACAATGCAGTGGTTGCCTTAGTGCTCACAAGATTTTGAGGCACATGTGCTAATGATTTAGGAACATTGTTATGAACTTGAATTAGATGCAAATCATGGTTCCACCACTTATTAGATAAGTGAATTCAGAAAGTGACTTCCTGAGTCTCAGTTTCCTTATTTATTACATGAGGATTATAGTGTTTACTGCTCAGAATGGTTGGGACAATGAGGTTGGATGACTCTTAGCACATGACCTGTCATACGTGATGTGTCCAATTATTATTATTATTGCTTTTTGCTACCATTGTTACTATAATTACCCAAATTATCATTTCTTCACTAAGCCATGTTTGCCTCCAGTTTATTAATCTTATGGCATATATATATGTGTATATATACATAGTACTTAAAAATAATAATACAATCATGTTATTTTAAAACATCTGTGCCAGTTCTTAAAAAATTACTCATTTAAGTGAAAGTATAGAGGTTAAGAATTCTGGAGTCAAATTGCAGAGTCAGAAGCCTTGTTTGCCTGCTTTCTAGCTGTGTGGCACTGCCTAGACACTTGCCTTTCTAAGTAGTTAACTCCTAGGATATTATGGGGTAAAATGTAAATAACACATAGATGGCCCATGCCTGCCACATAGTAAGCTCTCAATAAATGTTAGCAACTCTTGACATTCCTTTTGGTTTTAGGATAAATTGTCCATTACTATGTGAAATTCAGTTTTTCACTATAGGCCTCAATGGGCTCAGAAATGTCCCTTCGTATATTTTACAAAAAGAGTGTTTGCAACCTGCTGAATCAAACCCTTTTGGTTTTAGGGCAAATTGTCCATTACTATTTGAAATTTAAGAAGTCAAAGAGGAAGGCACTGATGAGTTATGAAGGATAATGGTGTTTAGCTATACTTAAATATCTTCACACAAGCCTTAGTAACAGTAAAAACAAAGAGGAGAAAGCATGATCTCAGAGCAAACAGTATCTTTCCTAATGTCAGAGTGCTCTGTGCTTTCAGGGTCTAAACATATGGTCCATGGAAAATGTTATCTCAATATAGTATGCAGTATTCTTACAAACTAATTGAAAGGACAAATGGTAGAGGAAAAAAACATATCCTAGAAAGTTCTGGAAATTAGATGTATAGGTAGCAGTGTATTATGGGACTAAATTTGTCTAAGTTTGGAGTTATAGTCATCTTCCTTGGAGGATTTATTTCTAAGAAATTAATTTTCTTAATGTAAAGAAAGAAACAAAAAGAAGCAACAGACTTCGAAAATAGGTTCTGTTTGGAAAAGCAAGGAATTCCAAATGAAGCTTAATAAAGGTAGCATTCGATCTGCAATTTTTAACCAGAGAAATACTAATAGAAAAAAGTATATAAAAAACTGGAGTGAAATAGGTTAGAGAGACACATCAGCTCTAGTGACTACCTTGATTCACTGGTTGAAATCACCCTTTAGGGTGTCCTTGATTCAAGCCATTTTACAAAGAAGGTTCAACAAAGTGATGGCAGTAGTAGGATTCATCAGCATCACCAGGAGACATAATTAATACAAGTGCAATGTAACTTTTAAACATTGTTAACAGCAACACCATGATCTTCTCCATAAGATGCCAACAAAGTTATTTGAAAAGATTAGTTTGTGTGTGTGTTTTGTTTTTAAACAAATTACTGGTTGTTGAATGACTTGATTTAGATTTGTACTGGGTTGACTTTGAGTTTAAATCAGCATGAACTAATTTACTATTATGTTTCATGCTGATGCCATCTCATTAGACCAGACATGTGAAGAAGGTTAAAACATAGTTCTCCTTAGTATAAATGATAAGGTGAAATATGTCTTACCAAATGAGTTGAACTGCTTGAAAACTTTTGTACATTTTGAAGCAGTATCACATCACAGAGATTAAAAGGAAGCATTGCACCTAACTTACTGTACTTTTTCCAAAAGGCTTATTTTGCAGACGCTATGCATTTGATTAAGCAAACTACCACTCTGATGAAAATACTCTGGTCACTTCATTTTTTACTTAAGGTAAAAAGCAAAACCTTTCTAATGTCCTGTAAGGCCCATTATTATATGTCCACAACTATTTCTCAGTCTAATCTAATGGTTCTTAATGTGACCTGTCTTTTTCCCACAGCATCATCTGGAAACTTGTTAGAAATGCAATTCTTAGGCTCTTCCCTAGAATTCATAAATCAGAAACTAGGTATAAGGCTGAACAGCCTCTTTTTTTTTTCTTTTCTTTTCCTTGAGACAGCGTCTCACTCTGTTGCCAGGCTGGAATGCAGTGGTGTGATCTCAGCTCACTGCAACCTCCGCCTCCTGGGTTCAAGCGATTCTCCCACCTCAGCCTCCCAAGTAGCTGGGACTACAGGCGCACACCACCATGCCTAGCTAATTTTTGTATTTTTAGTAGAGACGGGGTTTCACCATGTTGGCCAGGATGGTCTAAATCTCTTGACCTCGTGATCCACCTGCCTTGGTCTCCCAAAGTGCTGGGATTACAGGCGTGAGCCACCGTGCCCGGCCCCAAACAGTCTGTTTTAACAAGTCTTTTAGGTGATTCTGACACATGCACAAATCTGAGAACGTCTATCCAATCAAGCTATATTACTTTTTCCTTTCCTTATTCACTCAACTGGCCGCATGGCTTCCTGGTTTACATAACAGCTTTCTAAGCCATCTAACGTTAGAACCTTTACATTTGCTAGTCATTCTCTTCCTGGAATGCTCTTTTTTTTTCAAATCTCTACAGGGCTTATTTGCTTTTCTCCTTTAGGTGAACACAATGCCATCTTCTCTGCAAGGGCTTCATTAACTACCTTTAAAAATATTGCTAAATTTCTCCCTTCTTTTCTGTCACTTCTTATTCCCTTTCCCTACTTCAATTTTCTCCACAGCCATTGTCATCATCATCCAGCATACCACATATTCTACCTTTTGGTTCATTGTCAACTACCCTTTCTGGAATATTAGCTTCATGGGAGCAGGAATTTTGGTCTGTTTTGTTCACTGCTCTAACATCAACAACTGCAATAATGACTGTCATAGAGTAGATTCTTTAACAAATACGTGTTTAATGTGAGTGAACCCTGTCAAAATATGAGCTGCAAATATTAGCCATGGGGGGAATTAATGCAAGTGAGGAAATATATGACCTTCAATAACAAAAAATGGCCACATTTTAAATTTTCAAAACAGCAACCTGATTTGTGAAGGGCTGGAATATTTCCTTTTAGGCTCTGTCTCCGTAAGAAAAGAGAGTCTGTGATGATTCCATCCAGGGTTAGTGACAGCACGCTCTATTCTCAGTGCTGTGGTAAATACCACCTGATTCAATCCTCACAATAACCACATGTAGTAGGTAGTATTTTTATCCCCACCGTAAAGAAACGGGGAGAGGCTGGGTATTCTTGTCCAGAAAGCTGTTAAGGCTGAATTTGAACTCCAGCAGTCTGGCTCCCAAGGCCACAATTGTCACTTCCCCATAATACTATATCCCAAATTAAATAGAGATTGTAGGAGATAGTTGTAGCTGTAAGAGAGACAGGTAAAGTTCCAAAACAATGCCAACTGATAGAGGCATTTTCACAAAGACTTTATAAGCACAACAACTCACAATAATTTAAATCACCCTTTTCTATATAAAGGAAGTTTGGCCCCTACCCCATCTGGTTCTCAAAAACCATATCTCAGATTTTAATATTTCAAATAAGCTGTGGCCAGATCCTCTCAGCTCCTAAAGACAAATCTCAAAAACCCATGATATATATATATGTGGATCAGATGTGATACAGATTAGTTCCCTGGGAAAGGAAAGAAAAAAGGAAAGCTATTATGTAAAACCCGCATGACCATTCCAACCACCTAACTTCAAGAGTTTGTGTATAGATTGGAAAGCTAGTAAATTCCTGAGTGGCTGTAGCCCTGTCTACTCAGCTGCAGCATAGCCATCAACTTGAGAGTCTGTTAGGAAAGCCGAATCTCAAGCGTCACCCCAGACCCACAGGATTAGAATCTGCATTTCAACAAGATTCCCCCAGTGACTTGCAGCTTATTACAGTTTGAACACTGCATTAACCTATTGTCTCTCAAACTAGGTTATACATTGGAAGCATAGGGGGAGTTTAAAAAATATGGGCCAAGTTCCCAGATATATTGATTTAATTGGCCTGGGGTGCACATGGAAAAATCTTTCTAACATTCTCCAGGTGATTCTAACATGCAACCAAGTCTGAGAACTGCCGCTCTCATCACTCTGAGTAATTCTTTAAGCAGCAGCACTCATTATTTTTATCCTCCTAATGCTATCCCTCCCCCTTCCCCCCAACCCACACAGGCCCCAGTGTGTGATGTTCCCCTTCTTCTGTCCAAGTGTTCTTATTGTTCAATTCCCACCTATGAGTGAGCATATGCAGTGTTTGGTTTTCTGTCATTGCGATAGTTTGCTGAGAATGATGGTTTCCAGCTTCATCCATGTTCCTACAAAGGACATGAACTTATCCTTTTTTGTGGCTGCTTAGTATTCCATGGTGTATATGTGCCACATTTTCTTAATCCAGTCTATCATTGATGGACATTTGGGTTGGTTCCAAGTCTTTGCTATTGTGAATAGTGCCGCAATAAACATACGTGTGCATGTGTCTTTATAGCAGCATGCTTTATAATCCTTTGGGTATATACCAGTAATGGGATAGCTGGGTCAAATAGTATTTCTAGTTACTCTAGTATTTCTAGATCCTTGAGGAATTGCCACACTGTCTTCCACAGTGGTTGAACTAGTTTACTGTTCTACCAATAGTGTAAAAGTGTTCCTATTTCTCCACGTCCTCTGCAGCACCTGTTGTTTCCTGACTTTTTAATGATTGCCATTCTAACTGGTGAGATGGTATCTCGTTGTGGTTTTGATTTGCATTTCTCTGATGGCCAGTGATGATGAGCATTTTTTCATGTGTCTGTTGTCTGCATAAATGTCTTCTTTTGAGAAGTGTCTGTTAATATCCTTTGCCCACTTTTTGATGGGGTTGTTTTTTTCTTGTAAATTTGTTTGAGTTCATTGTAGATTCTGGATATTAGCCCACTCTTTAGTCCCTCCACAAATATTTCATCCTCTGCCCAACAGAAGTATTGCCGACCAAGCTTTTTCAGTGGTCATATTGATAAATATGATGCTGCTAATGTGACCCAAATTAATCAGAGCTTTCAGCAATGACTCATTTATCAGGACTCACAGATGCTTTCACACTTAGTGTTGACTTTCAGACCAAAGCAAATTATCCATTTCACATGCTTCACCATTTTTATGTCCAGTTTGTCTAGTACTGCTTGGACATGTAAAATTATCTATTCTATGCTCAGTAGTACCTATATTGATTTATTCTCATATGCTTTTAGAATTACCTATTTCCATCTCTTTTCTATCTGCTAGAATCCTAAAGTTCATAGATTGACTCATTTATCTGTATATCTTCAGAGTCAAGCATAGCCTCTTTTCAATAAATGTTTGTTAAATAAGTTTGAAGCTCTATCATTTTTTTTCAGTTTGTAGAAATCACCATCCCTATGTTAGTATCATATTCTTTATGTGTGCTGAATTTGAATATACAAATTCAAAAGTACAAAAAGATGGGGATAGTTGCAAAAGTCCAATAATTAAATATTTATTGAATATAAAACTACCTACAGAGTATCACTCTGGTCATTCTAGGCAGAATGTCAAGATAGATGAAGAGTCCTTTCATTGGTTTGTAATCTGGTAGAGAACACTGACACATATGTAAACAAATAAACAAACCTCATATAATTTAGGTAATTATGAAGACTGATGATAAACAGCTGAATCAAACTTTAAGTGAGTTTTGTGGAAAAGTAGATTCATTCAGTCTAGTGGCTATTAAGACTTCCCAAATTTTATTCTTTTTAAAAAAGAGATAGCAAATGTGTAATCTATTTGAACAATTACAATATACAAGATAGAATTATGGTATAGAAGTAACTTAAAATTGTAATTTTTTTTGTCATGTGGCTTCAGGAATAAATCAGATATCCCAACTCAGTTTGCTCTGAGAATGCACCTTCAAACTTTCAAAGTTGGAAAAAGTTTTACTTTGTGACTCTCCCTACTCATTGGGACTCATTGAGATTTTGCAGTAGATAGAATGGAAAATGCTTTTCAGCACCAACTCTACTATTCAGTGCTTTGAACACCACAATAAATAGAAAGGACAAGAATTGAAAGTCTTTTTCCCTCTTAGCTTTTTCTAAGTGCTGAACTGAATAGGTGTCAACTTTCTGTTGTAGCGCTGGCAGTTCTTACTTTCAAAAGAACAATCAGAAGGAAACCCTTTCAGAAAATTGATCCGCTAAAGTTTGAAATGCTTAAAAATAAACTGTCAGGTCTGTCTGTTTTCCCCTACGTAACCTGCCAACCTCACCTCTGGTTTTTTATTTTTCAAACCCAAACAGCCAGGTATTCTATTTCAGAAGGCTTCTGTGCAGCTTCTTCTTTGTCAGGAGTATTGTAGATCCTGACCAAATATTTTATAAATTGTAGGAAGACCTGAATGGGGATAAAAGCCAACTAGTGCTCCCTGCTGCCCTGACACCTCCACCTGCAGAGTTCTAAAATTTAGGTAAGGGAAGAGTATTCCTTCTAAATTCAGTTTGACAATTTCAGTCCTTACTATTTAGGAAAAAAAAATATCAAGTATATGTAGAATTTTCTCTATTTCTTGTTCATCTAGTACCCCACATTTGAGCTTCTATTGTGGAATCTCAGCAGAAGTAGATTCAAATAGTTTTAGTTTTTTGTTTTCCTTTTCCTAGAACATGTTCTTCTCAAAGAATCTCTCTTCTATAGAAAGGTCCACAATCTCCTATAAATGGCTATATGTGCCAGGAACTGCACTAGAAGCCACGTATTAAATTTAACATGTCAACAGTGATTATCCCCAAAAGTCCATTTTAATCTGCCCAGGAGGGATGATTGTGACTTTGCAACATTGCTCCTGATATTTATACACTCCTCAAAGCACCTATAGGGAAATCAAACACTTTATTACAGGTTTTAAATAGGAAACACATTTCTGAATGGATCCTTCAACTCTTTCATAGAAATGAGGCACACAAAAAAACTTAAAGTGTCAATAATTACTAATGTTACAGAATGGCAGAAATTTATAATCCAGGGTTAACTTGGGGGCTAATATTTTGTCTGTTTTTAGTTAATTAATTTTTAGATATGGAGTCTTGCTATGTCTCACAGACTGGAATTCAGTGGCATGATATTAGCTTACTACAGCCTCAAACTCCTGGGCTCAAGTGATCCTCTTGCAGGGTCATGCTTTCTTGCCCAGGCTGGTCTCAAACTCTTGGCTTCAAGGGATCTTCTCGCCTCAGCCTCCCAAAATGCTGGGATTACAGGCAGAAGCCACCACTCCTGGCTGTTTTTAATATGTGGTTCTTTTCATAAAAGATGGTAAAAGCCATCTTTTCTATAATTTCAGATTGGGAAGGATGAGCAAGTCCAACTTGACAAATTCAGATTTCATGTATCATCCTGAACTGGACAATGACCTTGCCTTGGGACTGGGTGGGAACAGTCCTTCTCCATCACAGTCCCAATGTTCTGCTGCAATAAAAGGCTAGCTAGTTGCATCCCTAGACTGTATTGGAGCACATTCTCCATCCTCCTTGGTTACCTCCCCTGGTTATTTGTGCAGCTTCTTATCTCCTTCACTAAATTTCATATTTCCTAAATGATAGACCATGACTCACTCAATCATCTCTGTATCTCTGACACTGCCTAACCTTGATGTTTTCCCTTTGATAGCTGCTTAGTAAATGTTGGTTAAATATATGAAAGCCAAGAATGCTATGGATAGGAAAATCAACCCTGCAATTTTCTCTGACATCACTTCCCTCCTTCTATAAACAGAACTGACTTCCAAAAACCTAAATCTTCTGCCCAGTTTTTTGAGATTCTTGATATTTGACTCTTCTTTTTCTGCTAGACCCAAAGAATTACCAAATAACATTGACCCTATCTTTCTTCTTCCTTTCCTTTCTCTTTCTCTTTCTTTCTCTTTCTCTCTTTCTTTCTTTCTCTCTCTCTTTTCTTTCTCTTTCTTTTTCTCTCTTTTTTTCTTCTCACATTTTTTATATGACTGCCATAACACAGACCTGTATGGAGTTAGAGTCAGAAACTTACTTAAATCCTATATTTTGTTCTTGCATTTATAAAACAGAATCATTGTGAGAAAATGCTTTATTCTCTGCACCCCACCCCAACTACAAAAATAAAGGGGTGTGATCATTAAAACAAGGGATAACTGTGATTTTTTCATGGGATTTTATGATTGGCTTCTGGACTATAGTAATCTTAAAGATAGTGTTTTGTCAACCTCTATTCAAAAACTCCTGTTAGCTGAAGTTTTCAAAGCTGTGGCCCAGCTGCCTTGTGGGTCTGAGGACATTTCCTCTTACTATGATTTATATTTTTTGATTGTGGGTATACCTTATATTGCTTTTTATCTGCAGAGATCCTTTAAAAGCTCAGATTGTAGGTTCTTCTCTGTTTCCAACAGAGATAATAACAACCAGGACCACTTTTTATAATAATTTCCTGGCTTGGGAGTTTCCCTAGAGCAAGCCCTGCGTTCACAGGGGAAGTTCTTTCTCTCTCTCTCTCTTGCTGGCTCACTTGATCACTTGCTTGCTCTTGCTGGTTAGATTTATTCCCATTCATCCCTTCAAGGATGTGTATGGCCCAGACCCACATTCTAAATGTATAGTCCAAGGCCTAATCTGCAGACCTCACACATTCTGGCTTTCTCTCTCTCCCATAGGGTGGTACAAAGGACAGTTTATATTTTCCCTCTCATATTTTATTGACTGTTTTTGCTTTTGTGAATGTTTTTACATGCTTATGAGTTAAGGCATACATTTAAACTGACAGTTACATTTTACACATTTGTTGCTTTTATTTTAGTTTAGTTTTCAGCATACAGATTTCTAGGTTGTAAATCGAATCTTTCAATAGCTTCTTAAGTTATGTGCTGACTCAGAGGAAATCAGGCATATTATAGTTCCTTATGATAGGATATCTGGCATATACCATGGTCAACATATTATCTGAAAGTATCATCTTAATCTCCTTTAAGACCTCCAGGATAAAATAAAAACTTGCAGGCCAGTCATGCATTACTCTCTATAAATCTTGTCCCATTATTTTTTTTTTCCAGAAAAACTGAAAGTCCACATTTTGAGGTAAAATCTAATGATTCACAATGTTGATAACTAATTTTAAAATTTTACAGGAAAAATACTCTGAAGGCTAGCACTGTAAAGGCCAAAGTAGACAATTTGCAGGCTCTGGTTTATAGTGCCTTCTGTTTCATGGAACTCTTCTTTATGCCTTTGTTATATGCCAAACTATACACTCACCAAATCTGCACACTTTCTGAAAGCCACTGTATTATAATTCTTGTGTTTGCCTCCTCACAAAACAGAGCCATGCACACAGACCCTCAGATGCCATTCACTGAATTGAAATACGTTCTCACTGGTTTCTAATATTCACCGAGCCTGAATAAAGGGGGTCGTAGAGCATTTCCTGAAAAGGCAGCTGGATGGCAAACAAGGATAAAATTGAGTCTTTCATTTGTCTGAAGAAGAAAAATAATATAGAGTTTCTTACGGGAGTCCATGTTCATATTAGGCCAAAGTGATTGCAAGTATAAGCAAGGGAGAAAAGTCGAAGAATGAGTTAGAGATTTTAAGCCAGCTTATGGTCTTGGATTTTATGACAAAGATATGACTCTCTCTTAAGTAATCTTAAAAGGAAACTTGTCAACAGTGATCATTTGAGGACTACCATTTTTTTTGTATTAAAATACATGGGTGTATTACTATAGATGTGAGAAGATAAATTCCTGGAAACTTTTATTTATTTGAGAGTCCTGTCTTCCATAACAATTTATCACTGACAGCTAAAGGAGGGTTTTGTGAGGAAACACTGCTCTCAGCATCTATATATAGACGGTTGATAGAGAAAGAAAAGCCCCTGTAGCCTGCTAGCCTCAAGTTTATGCCTTTTCCTTAAGCAAACTTTGCCATACTATCTTTCCTAAAAAATAGATTTTAAAAACATCTATAGTTCCACAAGAGGCTAAATTAGATGACCGATATTTAAACTTTCATAAAGTAACTACAGTTCTCTGTTGTGAACCAAAGGGCACCCACACTTATCCAGAAGAAAAGGGAACGAGATTTGAGGTCTTTGATAATTGCCTAGTCAGTATTTTCTGCATAAATACAGATGAGAGTAGATACTGGTTACATGAGGCTAAGGCATTTGGGATTTAAGAAGCGAAACTCCAAGGTAGTTGCACTTCCCATGACCTCCTTCTCATTCTGGCCCACTGTTCTTTACCTTCCTGCCACAGGCTTAAATATTACTGACGACACACAGTTTCTTCACAGATTCTTTGTACCTACTTCATTGATTGCAGAGCTCCAAAGAAATGAAAAGCAGTAGCCCCTTACATATATGTAAATTCAGGCAAAATATGGATTATTACTTTTCAAACAATTAAGCTACAACAAAATACACTTGGCATTGTATATCTTCAGGGAATCACATTTCTTCATTACCAAATTAGGGATGTAGATTCTTTTGGTGGCAAAGAATCACCAAATAACACCACCAGAAGAAAATCCATTATTTAGTTACTTAGATATATTTGTTTTCACACTGCAATATGTATAAACTAGAATTTTAAGATATGATTTCCATGTATGCACATATGTATGTCTTAAATTTGTATTTTAGTTTATTTGGATCACTTTCATTTTTTTCTTTTTCCATTATTGTCCTTTATTTCTATAAAGGGTTAATACATGGTCAGAATCTAAAAACGATCAAACATTTGTTAATTCACTGTCTAATCTCATCTAATAGCCTGTACTTCCCAAACAACATATCTTCCATGTTCCCTTTAGTGACAGTCTCTGGATATTCTGTGTTCAGCAGTATTTCAAGCCATTTTCATTGCTTAGCATGCTCTGCCTTTATTTTCTTTTAATTTCCTTCTGGCTTTTAAGACCCAGCTCAAATAGCACCTTGTCTCTGAAGCCTCCCATCATCACCCAAGCAAAAAACATCAATTTCTCTCCCATATTTTCACAGCACTCTACAAATCTAATTATTATAATAATAACCATACCATGTTTTAATTATGTATTTGAATATCTGCTCTTCCTTCCCCCAACAAGACTACTAGTTCTTTAAACACAGTGCTTGGCATGTATTCACTCAATAAATGTTTGTTAAAAGAGGATAGGAATTAATAACTGAATGAACCGATTAGAATAATAGAGAAAAAAGCAACTCTTCTTCCATTACTTTCAAGCATTTCTTTGTAATTTTATGAAAGAGTGGTTTTTTACAGAATATGTACTATAATTTATAAAAATATAATACATTTTCAATGTTTAAAACCTAAAAGTAAGGGGATTAAAGAGGCAGGAAATTGATAGCTGGAAGGGAAAGTATAGGTTAAGGGAACGCAGTTTGTGCAGTTCAGGCAAGATGTAAGTATATTTAGCCTACTCTTTCAGGAACGTTAGCAGCAGGAAGACCCCTCTATTGCTGTGTTAGATAAGTTAAAGCACATATTAAGTATAAACAAGGATATACAGAAAAAACAACAGTTCACCTTGCGCTTTAACCTCCAAGAGCCATTTTTCATTGCCTGACAATAAAGGGAGAGATACCTTTCTGTAAATGGAACTTTAGAGTTTCTATGTAGAGAGCCTTGGTCAACAAAATTATGTCAAAAAAATAATTCAGGGTTCACCTAGATGCTCTCTGGCTGAAGCTTTGCACTGGAAACTTCATCAGTCATTAAAAAATAGAGCAACTTGTCATTACGTTCATCTGTACAGACACATTGGAAAATGGTACATTACCAACCCTGAGAGTTAATACACCTAGCGTGTTCTATACTAATAGCCCTCTTGAAATTTTCAACAAGTCAGAAATGTGATGGCAAATATATAAGAAAGCAATATGTGTGCATTTTATTTCTCCAAGTCTTCCTTCCTTCCTTCCTTCCTTCCTACCTTCCTTCCTTCCTTCCTTCCTTCCTTCCTTCCTTCCTTCCTTCCTTCTTTCCTTTCTCTTTCTTTCTCTCTAATTTACTTATTTTCTATGCAATATTCCAGTTAACAATAAACAAAATGCTTTTGGCATACTCCCTGTTCTAACAGAGATCACACATTGGTAGAGGAGATTATGGAAGACATGAATTCAAGGGTCATGATACTGATGATATTAATGATAATAGCAACACCAAGTTCAGTGAATCTCTACCAGATACTATGCTAGGTACTTTATATTTTTACCACCTTCTATCTGTATTACTGTGGTCAAGTTATTTAACCTCTGAAAGACAGTTTCATCCTCTAGAATATAGAGCCACATTGGGATCAATTTTACATGGTTGTGATAAAATTTAGCACAGCACCTTATGCATAGATGCACCCTATGGATGTTGGATTTTATCATTAATATCATTGCCATTGATTTTCAATTTTGCAGATGAAAAAATTTGAATTACAGAAAGCTTAATTAATGTGTTCATGGTCACCCAACCTACAGAAATAAATAGTTGCAATGCATACTTGCTAAAATGGAGAAATAAGCCATAGTGATGGGCTAAGGAAGTGGCAAATATATACCACCAATCATCAGAATAGCAGAAATAGAACTAGCTTCACATTCTCTCCAAATAATCTAATTTAGTTTTCATACGCACAACTGGGGAGGATACTGTTAGCACCATTTTAAAGATGGAAAAAACAGAGATTTTGAAAGTCAGAGGCTTGACTAACACTGCAGTAAGTGGCTGGGCTGCAATTGTTAGACTCACAAGCCCAAGCTCTTTCTCATATACTATGCAGCCTGTGCCAGAAAATGGCAATAGTTTGAATTCACACCTAGCCTTGGCAGTACTTGGGTTCGTTACAGATAGATAGTATTGAAATAATAGATTTTACACAGCCTTCGCTGTAAGTTGGCTTCCAGCCTTAACGTAGTGTTCTTAAAGTTGATTTTTTGCTAAATGTTGCTTTATTATAGTAATGCTATGTGTAGATTTAGTTTTTCTAAAATGTCTTTTCCCCAGGGCCATATCAGCCAACAATAACAACAGCTATATTCAGCTGAGAGCACCAGATAACTGATGTTATTTTGTCACTGGCACCTTTATGAGCTTCATTTGCTGGGGAAGAGCTGAAGAAAAGAAAATTCCAAAACTTTTTTTTCATTTCTTTCTAAAATCATGGCACTGAAAGGCTAAAGTACTAGAAGTGATCTTGAAGCCAAATTCTGGGTGGAGAAACATAATTATTTTAATGCCTCCTATTGCTAAGTGAATCCAGCATGGTACGCAAGGGTTACAAGCAGTGAGTTCGGAGACTCTCTAGTTCCCTGAACGAATATATCAGAGCTGGGAAATGACCCGTTTCATTTTACCACCACCTGGTGCCTGGTACCCTAAATTTTTTATCCTGCCTTTAATGCTACCTAAATGAATATTTCCAATATTATAAACCTCAGGATACCTTTTTCAAAAAGATGAAACACATCATGGCCTGAAATCCTTATTGCTTTTGCTTTTCCAAGTTAGAACTCTACCTGAATAACACAATGAACTTAAACACCCTATAGGACATAAAATGCTGTTGAGTAGTAGGCTGTTTAATGCAATCTTTACAGGTATGTTGGGTGCTCTCACCTACTGAGATACGAAGAGGGAATATTATCTAAATCAAAATTTGACTTCCCAGATAGTATCATCTTTACACATTTCACAAAGGCCAGAGAATATATAAAACATAAGATAACATTCAGCAAACATTTATTGAGCATCTACTACGTGCCAGACACTGTTCTAGTGATTGGAGCGAGCTCTGAACAAAATGGACCAACGCTCTATTCCCATAAGGCTTTTAATCTACCAGAATGAGTCAGGCAATAAACACGGAGAATCAGTGAAGTGAATAGTATGTCAAAGATTAGTAAATGCTATTGACTGGATCAAAGCGGGAAAGAAGGAAAGTGTGCATATGTAGGTTGGGGAATTGAGGTGTGTTTTTAAATGGAGTGGCCAGAAAAAAAATCACTGAAGAAAATAAAAATCGGAAATAAGTGAGGGAATCATGTAGCATTTCGGGGACTGTTGAGGATTGTGCTTTCCCAAAAAATGTATGTTGGTATCCTGACACCCAGCAACTCTGCATGTGACTTTATTTAGAGAGAGTAACTTTACTGAGAAAATCAAGTTAAAGTGAAGCCTTTTAGGGAAGGCACTAATTCAATATGACTGATGTCCTTACAAAAAAGCAGAAATTAGAACACACAGACAGATCACACATAGAGGGAAGATGAGGAAAAATACAGGGATAAGATGGCTATCAGTAAGCCAAGCAAATAAGCCTGGAAGAGATCCTTCCTGCACAGCTCCTAGAAGGAAACAACCATGGTGACACCTTGATTATTTCAAACTTCTGGCCTCCAGAACTGCCAGACAAGAAATTTCTCTTATTTAAGCCAGCCAGTTTGTGATGCTGTGTTATGGCAGCCCTAGGAAGTGGTTACAGGCACAAAAAGACAGTAAGTGGAAAGACCCATGCTTGACATGCTCTAGGAAGAACGAGGGGGCCATGATTGGCAGTGAAGAGAGTACGAATGGCAGCTTAATTTATTATGATGCTTCATGGTTAACAAAATATTCATATTAAGTTTTCATTTGCATTTTACAACAACCCTATGTAATAAATAAGAAAAACGTGAGTAGGCTGCATGAATGTGTTAGTGCATGTACTCCCTGTACCCACCTGCTTGCAAAGAGCTGAATCTCAGAGTTCAATTCTCTTCACAAAATCACAAAGCTAGCAATTGACAGAAAAGATTTCTGGAACCAACTTCTGACTCCAAATCAAGTGTTCTCTTTGAATTCCTATATTCTTTACTACCCTAGTTAAAGCATTAAGGTTCATATTAAAATCCAAATGTGTTACCTGATTTTCAAACTTGCATTAAAATATCTATGGCTAAATGGCTAAAACAGGAATTCAGAAGCTAAGAAGTATATTGCATGTACATTGAGTGAACATCTATTTATTAAATTATGTTTGTCCTAATCAAAGAAGATTTCCTTCCTTTATAACCTATCATTAGACAAGATATGTAGCTTATGATACAATCAGGCTAAGATACTGGTTAACTGGTTAACTGGGCCTGAAACAACACTCTGAGAACATCCTCACTATTCTCATGTCAACTGCAATGTCATCTTGACTAGATTTAAGACAACCAGGAGCGCAGACAGAGCGAACACTTACCTCTTCCCCTCCAATACACAGATACAGAGAATAGGTCCTATAGTAAATTTGTTGCATTATATTCAGAAAGAAAGAGCGATGCCATTTAATCTGGAAGTTGAACTACAGAGCCTAAATCAGATGCTTACACAAAGTTTAGGAACAGATTGATGTTCAAGTATAAATGTACAAAAAATAACTTAGCATTCTGGAAACAGAGTTAATCAATGATTAATCAACCATGTCTAAGAAATAAGAAAGCTGTATGCTCAATTCTGAGAGAATTATTGACAAGAATGCTTGTCAATGTATTTATATCATAATCTCTACTTTGTAATCAGTAGTGTAGGAAGTTTAATGACTATGGAGATGGCTTCAACTAGTAAATTAAATACCATTGCTAAAGTAAATGTCAGAAGAAAAAAAGTGAAAATACATACAGTGAAAGGGGATTGGATAAAGCATTTAAATGGTGTTGAATCTATTGCATTGTGCAATTGTAGGCTATAATTCATTAGGTGACACATGGATGCTAATAATATTGTAGCAAATCATATCAGAGCATAAACTCTCATTAATGTTGAAATATGTGTTATATGAAAATGTTAACTGACAAAATTAAACAGAGATGCTATTTTATAAAAACAGTGGAATGGCCATGTTTTATATCTAATATCATCTTCACCTCATGTCTCCCTAAGACACCTAGAACTGTAATTTAATAATAATGACATGCCTATAAAACTAATAGGTTACAGATATCAAGGGATCTGATGTGGAAATTATACAGTGAGAGGTCAACAAGCATATTCACTCTCAATTAGTTAATATGCATTATTAAATAATATTAATCAGTAATTTAATAATGATACTGAGGCATATGTTTAATGTGTATCCCTTGATTCCATGTCTGCCTCTCCCTTAAATGGTATCCTTTTCATTCCTTTGATTTGGAGGTTTACCAAGGTTTTACCTCAAATGTGTCCTGCCCCAGAACATTTTATCATCTTTGTTGAGGATGCAGAGATCAACTCTGATGTAACTAAAGATCATATTTCTTTACTTTAACTTCAGTTTCTTAAAGATCTTTCCTAAGAAAAGAAAACAAAAAGCATATGCATTGCAAACATATTTTAACAGAGGACTCTTTAATGGCCTGACAGCCTCCAGACTAATTGACAGTCTTATTTGCATATGTGGAAAAGCAGGAAGTGCAGAGAGACAGATGGATGAATATTAATTGATGTTCATAAACCTGAAAAATGCCTTTTGAATTCTTCAATCCAGCTTCTCAAACAGCAAGTGTTATTTATGGTATATTATGACCCAGTGGTGACACACAGAATGGTATTCAGGCAGAGGCTCATTGGTGTTGCCCTTCATTTATCAGCAGAAGGACCACCATGGGTTTATTCATAAACACAGGTCATAGCTGAGGGAACCTCTAAATTTTGGGTGGAAAAAAAAAAATACCTAAGAGAAGCCTAACCTGCTCCTGATTGAAGTTGGGAAAAATTTGCTCAATGGATATCTGTTTACAAAGAGGTATATCACTCCCATGTTGTAGAGTATTGGTTGATGGATTCCATCAATTATGTTTTTCTCAAGAAAGCAAGAAGAAATAAGCCTTCACTTCTGCCCTGGCTTCTGAATGGTCAGTCAACTCCCACGCAGGGGAAGATTAAAGAGATCCTAACACCTCTTCCCAGTCAGGTTTTCTTCCCCTTCAATCTATCTCAGCCTTTGAATCCCTATATTCATTTCTACCCTTGTTAAAGCATTAAGGTTCATATTAAAATCCAAATGTGTTATCTGATTTTAGAACTTGCATTACAAGAGCTATGGTTAAATGGCTAAAACAAGAATTCAGAATTTAAGAGATATGCATACAAGATAAGATTCTGTCACAAACAATTTTGAATTTGAGTTAGATATTTCACTCCTAACATTTCATTTGCTCATTTGTTAAATGAGGTGGTTGCATGAGATCATTTCAAGGAATTTTTCCTGTTCCAATATTTCATGACTTTAAGTACTATTAAGCTCCTTTTATGTCTCTAAGGAGAATAGAAAAAGTCATATTTAATGACCACCTGCTATATGCCAGACATTCTATCCCAGGAGTTTTACATGAGTTAATTGATTTAGGGTGATCCCTACCCGGGACTCCATTTTCCTAGATATCCACAAGGCTAATTCCCATTCCACTTTTCTGTCTTTTCTCACAGGTAAGTTTTCTCCCCTGTACTCCATATTTCTAATCTGCCTCCACCCCACTCCTTTTCCATATGGCTTCTCACATTGTAAATTACCATTTAATTAATTAATTTACTATTTTTTACTGTTCATTATCTCACTTCATCTGGTAGAATATAAGTTCCACAAATTGTACGTCTTGTATTGTTAACTGATCAACCCTCAGAGCTTTTGAGAGTATTCAACTCAGAGAAGAAGTTTCTGATGGTTCATCATATGTGTCAGCTTAGTTAGACCATGGTATCCAGATATTTGGTGAAATACACTGGTCTAAATGTTGTTGTGCAGATATGTTTAAAGATGAGATTAACATTTAAGTTAGTAGACTTTGAGTAGAGCAGTTTATTCTCCACAATATGAGTGATCCTCATCCAATTCATTGACATTCTTAAGAGAAAAAAGATTGACCTCTTTCAAGGCAGAAGTAATTCTATCAGCAGACTGCCTTTTGACTTGAGCTGCAACATCAGCTTGTCCCTGGGTCTCCAGCCTGCAGGCCTACCTTGCATATTTTGGACTTCTCAGTCCCCACAAACACATAAGTCAATTTCTTAAAATGACTATCTGTCTTTCTATACATCCCATTGGTTCTATTTTTCTGGAGAATCCTGACTACTACAGGGCTCAAACATACATTTGTTGAATGTATGAATACATCATTAAAGTGATCTTTTTGAGGGAGATGAAATAGAGAGGTTAAGGAACTGGCTTGAGGCCACACAGTCAGCCAACTGAGTGGGAATTCGAACCCAGTTGTTTTATATGCCCAAGTCCAAGTTGTCTCCTCAACATCATGCAGACTTCAAAGCCCAATGGAAGCAGAGCCTCTAATAAATAAGTCTTTGATGGAATCCTGAGTGGTAGAAATCTCTATATTTAAGGAACCCCCCACAATGTAGGGAACTCTTTCAGAACCCTACTCAATGATGAGGTCCATGAGGGCACTGGATGTCCAGTAGACATGAGGGCTTAGAGGAAACAAACATAAGGCCAACTTCACTCATATGTCCACAGCTGCCAGAAAGAGCAACATTTGTTTATCACAGAATATCCTGCTTGGTAAAAGGTGGCTGTTTTCATGTTTTAAACCTATAATCCTAAATAATGGGTTTTCTAATTATGAAGACATGTCCAAACTTATGCTGATTTTAATGTGAAAACAGCAGCTTAGATAATATATACCCTTTTTCATTCTTCAAAATGTTAATCTATAACACCCACAATTAAAGATTAAATGGCTCATCTAAGTCCTGATGTGCCAGCCAACAAAGCTTCTGAGATGTAATAATCATTTTAGTCTTGAAAAATAGAGATCAAATATGATGGCAGATTTTGAAACTGAAAATTTGTTATGCATATACCTGCATATAAAAAGGTGGATCAGGCCGGGTGCGGTAACTCATGTATGTAACCCCAGTACTTTGGGAGGCTGAGGCAGGCAGATCACCTGAGGTCAGCAGTTCAAAACCAGCCTGGCCTACGTGGCAAAACCCTGTCTCTACTAAAAATACAAAAAATTAGCCCGGCGTAGTGACAGGCACCTGTAAACCCAGCTACTCAGGAGGCTGAGGCAGGAGAATTGCTTGAACCCAGGAGACGGAGGTGGCAGTGAGCTGATATCGCGCCAGTGCACTCCAGCCTGGGTGACAGAGTGAGACTCTGTCTAAAAAACAAACAAAAACAAACAAAAAAAGTGGATCAGAAGCAACAAAGTGTATGCATTGATAATTTTTATAGAACTAAATTAATATAGGAATACTGTATATTCAAATGTTATTTTATATAACCTCATATCCAGGAGAATTTAAAATAGCTATCTAGATTATTGAGGTAACATAATTTTTTTTTGAAACTCTGACAGCATCATTTTCTCTATTGTCACTATCATAGAAACTATATTAGCGTAAAACTCTAAGTAAGCATGATGTTTCCATTCTATCAAAGGGAATTCTGTGCAATACCACTGGGAATGGTAATATCAGTTATTTTTGGACTTTTTAATGATAGCCATTCTGACTAGTGTGAGATGGTATGTCACAGAGCTTTAGATTTGCATTTATCTGATGATTAGTGATGTTGAGAATTTTGTCATGTTTCTTGACTGCTTGTATACCTTCTTGTATATATTCTTTTAAGTATCCGTTTATGTCCTTTGCTCACTTTTAAATAGGGTTATGTGTTTTATTGTTTGTTCTTGTTGATTTGCTTAAGTTCCTCGTAGATTCTAGATATTTGTCCTTTGTTGGATGCATAGTTTACAAATAGTTTCTCGCATTCTGTAGGTTGCCTGTGTGCTCTGTTGATAGTTTCTTTTTTGTGTGTGTGCAGAAGCTCTTTAGTTTAATTAGGTCCCAATTGTCAATTTTTGGTTTTGTTCCATTTGCTTTTGAGGACTTAGTCATAAATTCTTTGCTGATGTTCTGAAGAGTATTATGTAGGTTTTCCTCTAGGATTTGTATAGTTTGAGGTCCTACATTTAAGCCTTTAATCCATCCTGAGTTAATTTTTTTATATGGTAAGAAGTATGGGTCCAATTTCAATCTTTTGCATATGGTTAGCCAGTTTTCCCAGCACCACCTCTTGAATAGAAGGTCCTTTCACCATGTTTATTTTTATGTACTTTGTTGAAGAGCAGTTGGTTGTAGATGTGTGACTTTATTTCTAGGTTCTCTATTGTGTTCTATAGATCTATGTGTCTACTTTTGTACCTGTACCATACTGTTTTAGAATGTATGCTAAAAGTGTAGCATGCTGTAGTCTTGTAGTGTAGTTTGAAATTGGGTAATATAATGTATTTAGCTTTTTTCTTTTTGCTTATAATTGCTTTAGCTATTTGGACTCTCTTTTGGTTCCCTATGAATTTTAGAATAGCTTTTTTTCTAATTCTGTAAAAAATGATGTTGTGATTTGATATAAATAGCATTGAATCTGTAGTTTGCTTTGGGCAGTATGGCCATGTTAACAATACTGATTCTTCCAATCCATGAGCATGAAATGTTTTTCCATTTCTTTGTGTCATCTATGATTTCTTTCAGCTGTATTTTGTAGCTCTCCTTGTAAAAATATTTTACCTTCTTGATTAGATATATTCCTACTTTTTGTGTATGGCTACTGTAAATGGGATTGCATTCTTTTTTTTTTTTTTTTTTTTTTGAGACGGGGTCTCGCTCTGTCGCCCAGGTGTCGGCTCACTGCAAGCTCCGCCTCCCGGGTTCACGCCATTCTCCTGCCTCAGCCTCCCGAGTAGCTGGGACTACAGACGCCCGCTACCACGCCCGGCTAATTTTTTGTATTTTTAGTAGAGACGGGGTTTCACCGTGTTAGCCAGGATGGTCTCGATCTCCTGACCTCGTGATCCGCCCGCCTCGGCCTCCCAAAGTGCTGGGATTACAGGCGTGAGCCACCGCGCCCGGCCAATGGGATTGCATTCTTGATTTGGCTATTTAATTGAATGTTATTGAGGTACAGAAATGCTACGATTTTATACATTGATTTTGTATCCTGAAACTACTGAAGTTGTTTATCAGGTCCAGGAGTTTTTTGGTGGAGTCTTTAGGATTTTTTAGATCTAGAGCCATATCATCAGGAAAGAGAGATAATTTTCCTTCCTTTTTCTATTTCACTGCCCTGTGTTAAGGGACAGACCGATGTCCAGGCTGCCAGTGAATTAATGTTAGTGTTGGCATTGTTTTAAACTTGTTGATCTAATTCCATGTCAGTGGTCCTGTCAAGATGTATATTTGGGGTAAAATCACTCTCTGAAATATTATTACTGGTATCTTCAGAGTTTATGCCAATTCAAACAGATATTATTGTAATTCTTATTTTGGACCAAAAAACAGCAATAGGAGGAAAATCTATTTCCCCAATTTATATGAACATACCTTTTATGAACCTTTCTTGCTCTCACTCAGATGCAGACTCTCTGAGAAAGAATCAAAGAACATTTAGCAAGTTCCCTGACAGCTCTCAAGAAACAATTAGATGTATGGGTGTCCAGCCTTTTGGCTTCCCTGGGCCACACTGGAAGAAGAAGAATTGTTTTGGACCACACATAAAATATACTAACACTAACGATAGCTGATGAGCTAAAGAAAAAAGGACCGTGTATATTTTTCGTGACATCCACCACCACAGATAAGCAAAAAAGCCCTAGAATTCAAAGGGTTAAAAATGGCTGAGTACTGTTCTACTAAAAATCAAGGAAAGCAACAGACAATATTTGATTGGGTTCTGGCAATAAAATGTAAATCTGCATGGTAAACAATAATTGGGAATCAAAATTTTAAAACCTTGATCATGAAATGCATTTATTTTCAATGTTCCTTATTTTATTTTCAATTTTTTAAAATTATTTCAGAACCAAGGATAATAAAATTCTCATTTTGACCCAATAGAAAAAATGAAACTATAGCCTCTTCTTTCTCGGTCTTTAGACTTTCCTCCAATTTCCCATCTAAAAATTGCAACCAACACACTGATTTATCATCTCCATAATAAGTAATTCTAATGTTTCCAAAGAAAACAATAAAACAGAGAATTACCAGTTAAAGGCAATTTCCTAGCCTGGCATATTTAAGCCATAGCAAGAAATAATGTTCTTTCGCATAAGTAGTATATTTTGCCTTTCTGACATGTATATCCTATAGGGGGTCTCTAATCAAAACATTTAATTTATAGAAAACAGATGGCTGTAGCTTTCCTACCAAGTTCTGTTTGTTATGATAAATCTGAAGCCAGAGATATTTCAATCAGCAAGGCTGAAAAACTAGAGACAGAATGTAGAAAGAGAAAGAGTGAGCTATAGGAATAAATCCTGAGACACTATCATTCACTGGTCCAAAAATGTCTGGTCCATAGCCTTAGAAAGATACCTGTTGTTTGCCCCAAATGACATAAATCGTGTGTGAAAGTAGGTCTTCTACATATCTCAATAGGCTCTGCAGTCCAACTGATCCTCTCATTTCTGTGTCTGCTACAGATTGTAAATCACTGGCTCTCCATGTAGCTGGGCTTTGTGGATGATCTACCAGGCAGTTCTGGCTCTCTCTGGGGCTGTATCACTCTGCCATAAAGAGTTGTCAATGTGACCACAGCCAAAGCAAAATTAGGATAAAAAAATTCATACCAAGGAGGTGATATCCACTTCAACAGCTCAAATCAAAGGCTACTTACAAACTGCAAGAGATTAAAAATCAAAAGTTCTATAATACTAATGTGTGCAAGGCATGTTTCAGCTTAGAGAAAACTTTCATATAATAAGATTATTAAAAGTTGGAGCTTCAGAGTCAAATAGATCAGAGTTTGAAGCCCATTTCTGCCACATCTTATTATCTGTAAGTATAATTTAGGCATCATACTCATACATTACTAAGTTCTCCAATACTCAGGTTTTTTCCATCTGTAAAAACAAAGCAAGACCAATCAAAAAAAAGTCAGGACCATGTGCTCTGAGACTTAGCTGATAAGATTTATATATAGCACTGCTAGCACATATTGATATTGAAATAAAATGGTGGTTATTTTTGGTACCAATTCCATAACAAAAATAGTGCAATATAATATCATTTTTTAAACATGAGAATCAATTGCATGAATACAAATTACACTCATGTCCAAGCAGAAGAATAATGCAAAAAAGTGCAGTGGAACTAACAACCACTTTAGAAGTAGATCTGGTTATGAACCTTGGTTCCACAACTTACTTGATTGTCAGAAGGTCACTTGGTCTCTTCGAGTTCCTTGTATGAAAATTAGAAATAATGACAAATATCTTGATGAGCTATAGTAAAGAGTTTGCATAATATGTATTAAGCACACCAACACAATATCTGGCACCCAGTAATATTACATGCAAAAGTATCTTTGAACTGAAACGATTATCTTTATGATTAGAAAACAAGGCAGTTCTTAACAAAAGCAATAATTATACCAGGTTACATTGTTATTACACTTTATCCATTGAAGCACCATCAATCTCAAACACTTTCTAAAACAGGGAGGGCATGTGGTATGTCTATTCTCAAGATGAGGAAAGTGAGCTTCTCTGACATTTTTACACTGTCTATAGAGGCGTGTGTGTGTGTGTGTGTGTGTAAAATATAAATGTCATATTAATAGGTAGTTATTTTTAATGAAGTAGGAAAATTTCCAACAATGACTGATATTATTAAAGATAAATAAAGCAGAGAAGTGAATCCTATGAGCCTTCAATGCTGCTATTCTACTGCCACATATTTATGATTGAATCACTACTGTTTGATGAGCCATTTTATCCTAAGTGGCATTATTGAGGAGATTAATGAGCCGGGAGACCTGGTGAGTTAAATTAATGTTTTTAAGGTTAAAACTTATCCAGATTAATAATAATTAAATCCGCAGAGTATACTAGGGCAACACCACAAAGATTAATCCTAACCCACTGTAAAAATAATTCACTTTGTGTGCTTGAATTACTCATGAGAAGATCTCTGTCTTTGAAAACTAACGTAATTGTTTAGCACTGCAATTACTGTTCAGAAATACAAATACAAAGATTCAAACAGAATGGAATGCTAACTAAAGAGCATACAATTTATGAGTCAGAATTAAAATGAATGTACTGAATGATTAAAAATAATATTTGAGACAATAACAAGTTCTTAAAACATTCAAACATTTTAGTTTACTATTTTGGAGACTACATAATTGGGCTGATCCTATTTATCCTCTATCTGATCAGCGTAGGGATACAATTTTCAATCTGCACAGTAATTCTGAAAGTGTGTTGTTTCATTTAGACTTTATCTTGTTTTCTGGCTACATTAGTAACATCCACACACGGTTCTGAAAATATCCAGACCAAGCACCTTCAAGAATCTATTTTTCTTAATCCCAGAAGAAAAATGTTTTATGATGAAGAAGAATCAGCTCATTAAGGAAAACTTCTACTATCTACCCGACTATCTCTTTCTTTGCTCTCTCACTTTGATTAATTCCGTCATTACCACATCACTCCTGCCCCTGTACTGTGTCTCCTTGATATTCTAGTCTTGACCAATTGTGCTGTTTAGCAAAGATCTTTGCTTACTCTTAGCCTAAACGGACATGATTTTTTAAAAACTTTTATATTAGGTTTGGGAGGTAAATGTGAAGGTTTTTTTCTTACATGGGTAAACACGTGTCATGGGGGTTTGTTATACAGATTATTTTATCACCCAGGTATTAAGCCCAGTACCCAACAGTAATTTTTTTCTGCTCCTCTCCCTCCTCCCACCCTCCACCTCAAGTAGACCCCAGTGTCTGTTGTTTCCTTGTTTGTGTTCATAAGTTCTTATCATTTAGCTCCGACTTGTAAGTGAGAACATGCAGTATTTGGTTTTTGTTCCCGTGCTAGTTTGCTAAAGATAATAGTTTTCACCTCCCATCTATGTTCCTGCAAAACACATGATCTAATTCTTTTTTATGGCTACATAGTATTCCATGGTTTATATGTACCACATTTTCTTGTCTAATCTCTTATTGATGGACATTTAGGTTGATTCAATTTGTTTGCTATTGTGAATAGTGCTGCAATGAAAATTCGCTTGCATGCGTCTTTTTTTTTTTTTTTTTTTCTGAGGTGGGGTCTCACTCTGCCACCCAGGTTGGAGTGCAGTGTGCATCTCAGCTCACTGCAACCCCTGCCTCCCAGGCTCTAGTAATCCTCCCATCCCCAGCCTCCTGAGTAGCTGGGACCACAGGAGTGTACCACCTCACCTGGCTAATTTTTTGTACTTTTGGTAGAGACGGGGTTTTGCCATGTTGCCCAGGCTGCTGTTGAATTCCTGTACTCAGGTGATCAAGCTGCCTTGGCCTCCCAAAGTGCTGGGATTACAGGCTGGAGCCACTGTGCCTGACCATATGTGTCTTTATGGTAGAATTATTTATATTCCTCTGGGTATCTACCTAGTAATGGAATTGCTGGGTGGGATGGTAGTTCTGCTTTTAGCTCTTTGAGGAATCACCAAACGGCTTTCCACAATAGCTGAACTAATTTACACTAGAACCAACAGTGTGTAAGTGTTCCCTTTTCTCTGCAGCCTTAACAGCCTTCATTGTTTTTGACTTTTTAATAGGTTTGACTTTTAAAAAACTCATTATTTTTGACTTTTAATGGTATGACTACCTCGTACCATTCTGACTGGTACGAGTGGTATCTCATTGAGGTTTTGGTTTGCATTTCTCTAATGATCGGTGATATTAAGCTTTTTTTTCACATGCTTGTTGGCCACAAGATACAAATTTTTAAATGGATGGCAGAGAAAGACAAAAATAAATAAACACATGAAAATCATTAAACCATCTTACACTTACATGTGGTTTCCTTGAAGTTTATGGCTGCCTTAGTGAAGAAATTATCTCCTGAGTGTCTTGATCTTCTTAGAGTAACAGCAAAGACTGAGTCACATCCCCAGTTAAGAGCCCATTTTATTTTAAGATCTTTCCTCTAAAACCTATGGCCTGCCTGAAGAGTTATGTTCTGGGAATATTCTGGGTGACCTGTTCTTGGAATATTCTCATCGTTTAGGTGTCTATAAACACTTGCTTATAGGAGACAATTCTATTCTCAGAGCAATTATATACTAAATAATATTATAGCACAAACAAATACACAGAGCAAACATCAGTCCTACAAGATTTGTACAAGATGCTGATGTACACAGCACCAGGCATTGATCTTCTCCCACTCGTCACAACCAAATGAAGACTTTGGTTCCAAATATATTAAATATTCACGGACTTCCTAGAACACCATGCCAACAACGAATTAGGTAGATCCATTGACCTAACCAACCAATGATGTGTGTGCCTGTGTTTGTGTGTGTGTGTGTGTGTGTGTGTGTTATCTGTATTCTAAGACCCAGTGAAAGTTCAATTTTCTTTTTTCCCATATTTTCCCACTTTATTTGCGTGATTATATTTGATGTAGAAATGCAACTGGGAAACTTACTGATAACTACTTCTATTTGAAAAAAATAAGAAGAGGGATTATTTTGAGAAAAGGAAAGGCAATTTGAAACTGAAAGAGCTGTGTTTGGGCTCTAGTTTTACCATTTATAATGTATGTAAGTATATGTGATATCATTCATTCTGAAAGTTCAGAGATGATCATTCTAATCTGATCTAACTTCTGTCAATCAGATGCTCTGTTTTGGAAGTGGTGAAGGAGTAAGAGCTTTAAAGTCACAGATAATCTGCATTTATACACAATATAACCTTGAACAAGCCACATAATCCTCTGAGCCTCAGTTACCTTATTGGTTAAATGACAGAAATGAAACAAACCATTTCAGAGAGTTAATTTAAGGACAAAAAGAGATTCAATATATAAAATTACATTTGAGAAATAAGAGATCAATAAATATCCTTTGTTTTCTCTCCTTCTTTTCTCAATGTAACACATTAATGTAGTTTGACAGTTTTATCTTCATGAGGACTTATCATCACAAAAATTGATATTGGTCAAACTTAGGAAAATGAGGAAAATAATGTGTCTTCCTTCTGCGTTCCCCGGGTTGCTCAGCACAATGCTAATCACATAACAGATGCATAAAGGGGGAAGTTTATGAGTCTAAGTATCTCAGGACTCGAATTCAGGTCTAAAACCTGCTACCACTCCTTCCCGTGTCACCTTTAACAAATTACTTAATCTCTCTGATTACGAGTGGAATGAAGGGATTGGACTGCAGAATCTCTAAGGTGTCTTCCAGCAATACTAGCTCATTATCTACTGTCTATATGCTCACTAGCGGATCATCTTTATTCTTTGTTCTGAGGATTCCTTTTTTTTTTTTTTTTTTTTTTGAGACAGAGTCTCGCTCTGTTGCCCAGGCTGGATTGTAGTGGCGCAATCTCTGCTCACTGCAAGCTCTGCCTCCCAGGTTCACGCTATTCTCCTGCCTCAGCTTCCCAAGTAGCTAGGACTACAGGTGCCCGCCACCACGCCCGGCTAATTTTTTGTATTTTTAGTAGAGACGGGGTTTCGTCGTGTTAGCTAGGATGGTCTCGATCTCCTGACCTTGTGATCCGCCTGCCTCAGCATCCCAAAGTGCTGGGATTACAGGCATGAGCCACCGCGCCCGGCCCGTTGTTGTTGTTTTAAAGTAGACTCCTAAAGAAGGAGATTAGATAAACCTTTCATTGTGTTGGTAACAAATTCACTCGTACAGAATTATTTAACAAATTATTGATTGAAACTAAATAGTTGTTTGGTGGCCATTAGTTGGAATTTTCTTCATATAATCTTTAATGGAGCCGAAATTGACAAATAGTTGTAATCTGTTACTCCATAATGGGGTGCATGAAGCAATTCTTTACAGGCTTGAGGCAGCAGACATGTTTACAACAAACATAGTTATTAGATATTATATTGAAACTATCCAATAAACTGAGAGAAAATATCACCCACATAGGTGGTCTAGACAACACTTATGGCTGATTTACATGTCTTCTGCCAGTGCTAGAAGTACAATGATTTCCAAACCGTGAAGATTTCAGTCTAAACACTTAAAATGTGTCAAACAAACCTTAACAATTAAACCTCAATGGGAATGTGTACCATGTTCCATAACAAATGTTAAAGCCCTAATTGGTAGGTTTATTTATTTGATTATCAACATGAAGCAACTAGATTTCTTAAATGTTAACAAAATAAAATGTATTTATAGTGTTTTTTCTTGCATTTATATTTTTTAAGGACACTAATATTATTCCCAACTTAAAATGCAAATAAATTAAATTAGTCTGTAGATGAGAGGAATTTGATGCAGAGGTGAGGAGGTAAATAATTCTTTAAAAAACTGATTATAGGTCATTCATCATGCTGTATAATTTTACATACTTTATGTTAAATCATTAAGACCTATAAAGTAGGTAATACTATCTTTGCATTATGCATGAGGAAACACTCCCATAAATATCATGACACTTGCACGAATCACAAATCTAGTGAAACTGAGCTGGAACAGAAACTCTAATCTATTCTATTCGAGACTAGAGCTGATGCTTCTCTTTTTTTCATTATTTCAAACTACCTTAAGTGTACACTTAGATTTCTCTTCAAGAGGAAACCTGCCCCCAGCTGCTGCAACTTCAGACCCTCTGCAGAGTTCACACTGACTATGACTACTCCAAGCCAATGGCTGAGCAAATTGTGTATGTGAGTGGGTATTAGAACCGAACAATTCATGCCTAGCTTTCACTTTCTGCAACGGCTCATCTTTGTTCCTTGGCTCCTCATGTCTGACTGAGGCTTTCTTAGCGTGGCACTCTGTGTGGGGCTCTTTCTACTCGATCATCACTCCTTTCCTTTTTTTTTTTCTTTTTTTTTTGTGATGTCAGACTCACCTAGTGATCAGAAGGCTCTCTCTGCCTACTTCTCTTCCTTCTCCTCTCCTCTCCTCTTGATCATCCTCAGGTACTTTCCGCAGTAAATATCTTGCACATCAAATTCCATTTTTATCTCAGCTTCTTGGAGGACCCAAAAATGACACTCAAAGAGTGGTTTGAGAAAGTATGTAATGAGATAAGGTTTTTAAACACAATTTACATTTCTCATTTTTGTACATACATAGCAAGGACATAGACTGAGATGAGTTTTTGGGATCCTCATCACTCACTGCCCAGCTGGAAGGAAGAGCCACATACAGGGTGAAATGTGGGGCAAGGAGGGTGCCTGGCCCAAAGTCATGGACTCATTGCTAATGATTACACTGTTGGTAACTTGGGGAAAAGCCTGGTGGAGATGAATGCCCTTGCCAGTGAGATGATTCAAACACTGGAAAGGTCTGAGAGTAACAACACCTACAAGGACGGTGGAGTGGGATGATTATGATTAAATCGTATTGACACTAGGCAGAGGGATAATGAGAAACTGAGGGTGGTTAATAAACAGTTAAAGGCTAAGTAAGGGTCAGAGGGTCTTTTTGGTAGATGCTTCTTCGGTATTATTTCCTGCAATGAAAAAGCAGACACAGCTGATATAAAGTACATGGGCTAATAGTTGGTGGCACAGAGCTCCCAAGATGTGTACATTCTCGAGCCTGGCAGATCTGTTATGCTAAGGATTCAACCTGATGTAGAAAACCTTGAAATCTGAAACACGAAATGGGAACACCTGGGAAGGAAGCCCTTGAAAAGCCTGGCTTTACAGACTCACCTGAACCATTTGTGCCTGAAGATGTTACCCAACTCTTTCAAATAGTACTTTCCCTATTTGCTTCCCCACTACAGGAATGCACTACAGAGCCCTCTGTCTCCTTAAGGCAACAGGAATTGCCCTCAAGAGCTGCTGCTGCTTCATCCCCCATAAGTCAGGCCAATAACTAGGGTTACATTTCAGTGCACGTAGGCTGGGGATATGCTAGGCCTGATAAGTATGAAAATAGATTACAACCCAAAGAAGCTGCAGGAATTTGCTAACATATACCTTCCAGATCCAGAAGAGAACTCCTGGGATTGAATTTCAAAGGGTATTGATTAAGGACAGACAGGATGTATGACTGAATTTGTTGACTTGTGGGTACTTTCTTAGGACATTGGCTTTAATGCCCTGTAAAAGACCATAGGGAATGGGCAAATTCACTGGTGGCATGGCCTTGAGAAGCCCTGAGACAACAACGGCCAATGCTTGGCGAAGTGTGAGTACCTGATTTTCCTTGTAAGACAAAAAAAGGAATGAGCAAAAAGGCTCATAGAGCTGGGAATGCTGGAATGGACATATTACATGAGTCTAGAAGATGCCCTAGAAGATTATTTTCTTTTCTAGGAAGGTCCAGAGGACATGTAATTCATCCAGTCCATCGTAAATGCACTGGTGAAAGGAGCACCCAAATTACCAAGAGCTTCAGTGGTGGCTCTTCTATGCAGGTTAACACTGATGGTGGAAGAGGTGGACACAGGGCTGCCCTTTCTGATAGCCAGGGGAGTGATGGGGATTGCGCCAAATGCCAATTCCAATCATACACTCTTGGATGTGGGACATAATCATCAAATGATCCTGTGGCTTATTTTCACATCACCTACTGAGGGACTAATTGCTTGATACTTCACACTTTCTCAGTGTTACATTCTTCCAGATTAGAGGGAGTGGTCCCTAAAGAGGGAATACTTTTTTTCAGGGACCAAAGCAAGATATCATTAAACTATGAGCTGCTGTCAAGACACCTGGACTCCTTTAGTGGACAAGTTGCCATTTTGGCAGGGGTAATTGACTGGCAAGAGATAGGAGGACGGCTCATACTACACAATGGAGGCATGGAGAACCATGTAAGAAATCCAAATGATCCACTTGGTTATTTGTTGCCCAACTGTAGCTTTCAGTGGACACATGCAGCCTGAGACACGTATAATTTCTAGGAACTAAGATCGCTCTGGGATAAGGGATTGGGTTACACTATCTACCAACCAACCAAGACCTGCAGAGGGTGAGGAACTTTAGAATAGATAGTGGAGGAGAGAGATGATAATATCAGTTGCTGCTCTGAAATTAAACTGCAGTGACAGGAAATGTGATTCATTCCACTTTCTTCCTTCTTCAATGTTTCCTCTCAGGAGGAGAAGCCCCCAGCAACCGTGGAGAAATTATTCTCCATCATTTATATGGAGAAGTGAGTCTGTGCATCATAAGAGACAGACTGTGGCTGCTATCGGGGGCAGTGTGCCCCTCAGGTCTCCCTTCATGAAAAAAATAATTTTAAAAAAGCTGGTATAAGTAATCAACCATTAGTTGACAGCCACCAAGTCTGCAATTTCAAGATGTACTGTAGAGTTCATGCTAAAATTATACTATCCCAAAGCTGCTCCCACTCAGTGACTGACCTTGAAGAAGGCAGTAGAGCTAGTCCATTCTTGCCTAGCATGTTCTCATTTAGGGGCAATATTTTCCTTGGGGGACCTAGTGGTCTGGCTGAGATATTCTCACAGTGTAATGTAGTCAGGGCTCTTCCTACCCAAACTCCCTTCCTTCCATTACAATTTTGACAGTTGCGACATCCAATTCCTCACCCAAAGACTCTTTTGGCCTGTCTCGGCTTTCTCTCCCCATGTGCCTTCAGAGACATTTCCTTCTAATAATTTTTTTCTGAATCTAATTCTGTCTTGCCATCTATTGCTTGGATTTCCCAAACAGGTATACCACCTAAAGGAGCAAAAAATGTCTCAAGTCTCATAAAATTCTGGCTTGTATAAAAAGCTTTTGCTTTGTAGTTAAGCTTTTTGGCCATGGAGGAAAAATTTTAAAAAAGACAATTTCTATAATTCAGAATCTATAATTTGTCTAGTTAGAAAGTACTTAATATTTTAGATATACCCAATACAACATGAAATGTCCTCCAGTTCACACACTAGAAACACTTGTAAAGATGCTTGGCCTATTCTGCTACAATTCATATTTCCATTAAAGCTATATGTTCTGTATGTTTTGTTATTCGTAAATTAACTGCCTTTTCTATTTTTACTAAGTTTTTTTTTTTTTTTTTTTTTTTACTTATGTCACTTTTTTTTTCCTCTAAATATTTTTTGACCACTTCACTGGAATGACTGGAGAAGTGATATTAACTAGAAGAAAGCCACATTTGAGGTTTGTGTGTTGGATATTCAATTGGATTTGCTCATTATTTAAGTAATCCTTCTGCATATCACCCTTAAATATTATATAATTCATATTAAAACTTCAGCAAAATTGCAAAGACTTTTAGAGTTGCTCCTCGAAAGTCAAAATTTTGAACGATGAACGTTGAGTACCATATTTCTACTCTATATATCAAATTAAGACAGAAATCAAATAAAACCTATAATGGTTAAGTAGATAATGTCATATAATCTTTAATAATAGAGGGTGATGTGATCTATAACAAATTATAGAATAGTTACTAGAAGTTAGATGGATCCAGAACTACAAGAGATTATTTAATTTAACTTGTCAATAAGCCATATATTCAAATATGTTAAATGAGCAGGTATGTTTTGTATGAAATAATGGAACTAGACAAGAAGAGCTTGGGTCTGTTACACTTCTTGATATATTTTGTTTCCTCTCTTTCACTGCTAATGAACATAGGTAGCAATTTCAATTTTTCTTCCCTAAAGAAGGTGCTGGTTAAAGCTAACATTATTGCTAAGATAATTTTTAAATATTGAAAGTAAGCATAGCTATAATTTGCATAACAGCCTCAGATGCATGGGATACCACCTGAAAAGGAACCTAATTTCTTTAAATAAGAAGAAATCAAAATAAAAGCATAAATTACAATGTGTCAGGCAGTGCTATATCTATAATTAGCCTAGGTATTAAATGTCTTTCTTACAAACACAGAGATCTTAGGTCATTTATACTAGTCATCTGTTTGCTTAGTACTTATTATAGTTCTTTAGATTTTGTATAATAAATGGTGTTAGTTTTACCTTTCAGAGGCTTTGTATTACTTTTGACTACAAGGTGAAAAATCATTCAATTAAGAAGCATCTATTGAGTGTGTATTATGTGGAATATACTAACTAAATATAAGAGATTAAAGGTTAATTTTCTGGTTAATTTTGTTGTAATTTTATAGTACTGCCTCTAGGATAAACAAAGATGTCAAAGACTTGGAGTGATATAAAATGGCTAACCTTCCTTGCAGCCTTTTCAAAACACTTGGTAATCACATTTTTTTAACAATATGATAGAATTTTAAAATGAAGACAGGATGAAAAAGGGCCAAGTACAGAAAAAAAAGGCAATGCAAGCCAGGCAAAGATTATTGAATGTCTATTATATACCAGGCATCAAGCTATGTGTTTTCACAAATGTTATCTCTTTTAATCCTTCCAACAGCAGTTTGACGTAATTATAATTGCTCCATTTTATAGCTATGGACACTTGGATTTAGCAAAGTTAAGTAACTTAGGCAAGGGCTGATAAGTGGTCCAGATGGGATTCAGGTATTTCAGATAGTGAAGCTCATGCTTTTTCCATAAACAGAGATAAGATATATGACTCCTTATAATGCTCTCCAGTCCCATGACTCTGTAATGAAGTTTGACATACACTTACTAGAAAATGTAATAATGTAGCATCACTTAGCAGTGATAATAATGCTGGGTTAATGGTCTTTCTGCTAAGAGTCAGATAAGACATAAGACTTGCCCTGAACTCTAGCCTGACCAGATTATTACTCTAGCATATGCTAGTCTCTCTATAATGTCACTGGAATGAATGAATCCCAGAACTTTGATTTCTCTGTGCCTTTATTCATGTATGTATACTTTTTCTGATGTTTAGTTTCTCATGAAATCCCCCTTTACCTCAAAGCTATATTCTTCAAAGTCTGGTTAAAATACTATCTCATCAGTGAAGGCATTTGGAAGGTTCAAGTCAGAATAACCCATTTCTTCACTTTCCAGTGATTACCACTTCCTGAAATCTTTGCTTTTGTAAAATCCCCGCCCCTTCAGTGTGGGCTGGACCTCAGGACATGCTTCAAACGAACAGATCATAATAGAAGTGATGGAATGTCACTTTTGAGATTAGGTTACAAAAATATTATGCCTTCTGTTTTGCTAGCAATGCTCTTGCTCTTTCTCAGATCTCTGACTCTGGGGGAAGCAAAGTGCCATGCTGTGAGAACCCCTTTGGAGAAAGCAAGGGAAGAAACTGATGTCTCCAACCATCAGCCTGTGAGGACTCTACAGCCTGTAGGGCACATACGTTATTGAGCTGGGAAGTGACTCCTCCACAGTTCAGCCTCCAGAGGACTGCAGCCCTAGCAGATACCTTGATTGCAGGCTTTTGAGAGCCCCTGGGCCGGAAGAGCCAGCTTAGCCATGCCTAGATTCCTGATTCACAGAAACTGTAAAATTTATTTATGGTGTTGTTGTTGTAAGCCATTAAGTTTTGGGGTACATTTTCAAATAGCACTAACTAAGTAACTAATATAATTTCTATAACAGCTCCACGAAAATCTAATTTGCCTGATACTATTGGGGCCATGCATCAGATTTAGGGGACTTGATTGATATGAGCAGAAACACTCTCTGGACCACACTGAACACCCACTATGTAGCACACAGCCAGGAGAAATTAATAGTAGCCCTATCCTGGAATCACATACCTAGAATGGAAAGAAATCTATCAGTGTGTATTGTACAGATATAGTAACCTAGAGGGTCAGTCAACTATGGCAAGTTGTCATGGGATGAGGAAAGTGGGAAATTAGGAAACAATCAAATGATCTTGCTAGAGAGAATATACATGGATTTAGACTTGAACAAAAAAGAGTCTACCTTGGTTTCAAGGATTACAGGTAAAGGTGGTGCATGATCATATTCTGAGTTCAATATGGGAAAATACTAGCTCTTTACTCCACAGCTAACCTGTACTCTTCCACTCCACGGAGGATGTACTTACTGTTCTTTGTTTTCTGAGCACCAAACGCAGTAGCCGAGACATGCAAGACACATGCTAAACATTTTCTTAAATAAATATATTAGGAAAAGTTTTAAATTTGAGATCTACTGATGAGATAAGCTCTTGAAAATCTGATCTCCACACCTTTCAGGCCTTACCACACTTGTTCAGCCCACAGTAGATACTGGACAAGTAATTATTGAATGCATAAATTAATGAATAAAGGATGCTATGAATGGACAGCCTGAATTTAGACTCAGATGCTGAAACTGATATAAATGTGATTATTTGAGATGAAGTTTCTCATCTGTAAAACAATGTAATTAAGCCAGAAGAAATTTAGTATCCTATCTAGATAATTCCAAAAGCCTATGGTCCCATACCTTTTACAGACTTGCAAAACCAGAGTCAGTTACTACAACAGATTGAAAGCTCTTTCCTGAGCTCATTTATTAACTCCTAAAAGCAAAGTGACCAAATTTAGTAGAATTTCCAATTCAGTATATATGCCTATGTATGTGTGATGTCTGTGTTTGTATGTGAATGTTTATGCGTGTATATATATATATTTTAATTAAAGTGTCATCCAGTTTTTTTGGACTATAAAATGCGACTAGCACTGTCTGTTCTACAGGGAAGTTTGATGATTAAATGATATCATACATATAAATCATCTTCTAGCACAAAGGCTGGTACCAAGAAAGTGATCATTATGAGTTCAACATCTATACTGAGGATTAAATGAAAAACGGACCTCTATTTTTATTTTATTCCTGCTAATGGAAATCTTTAAAAATAAAATATTCATAATAATTTGTGAATCAATAAAAAGTGGATAAATTTAAAAATTGTGTATACATATAGCGAAATACTAACAAGCAGTAAAATCATGTTGCTGAGAAATATTCATAAAAGGTTTACCGAGTAAAAATAAATCAGTTTGCTCCATGGAGTTTGTACAATATGGTAACATTGTATAAAATGCAAAAATAATATATATTTACACATATGTAAATAATATGTACATATAAAATATGCACATATTATATATATGAGTATATACATAAACATACACATGTATACATGCATACATATAAATAAATCTATTCACATAATTTATATGTATATTACAGTACTAGGAAAACATGTACCAAAATAGTACAATGTCTGAGTAGTGTAATTATATATGAATTATTTTTTCTATGCATTTTTATAGTCCTGAAATTTGTATATTTTACACACACCACTTTTATACTGGGGAAAAATCAATATTTGCAAGTTAAAATTAGATGAGACAAGTCTCAGAGTGGCAAGAGCTAGCGTTCTCTGGGTGGAGGACCTAACCTTGCCCAATACAAAGCCAGTTTGGTATAGAAAACTGTCATTGTGCTGGGCAACCCAAAGACTGCCAGGAAAAGTAATGTGATCCTGCTCACAATACAGATACACTATGAGGACTGGCTGCTTTTAGACTATGTAAAATGGTTGCATGTGTCCCTCCACCTTGAATAATTTTCTCTTGTATCTTTATAACCCATAATACTACTACCATTTAAGGGGTGAAGAAAATAACAAGTATGTATGTTATGGAGGGAAATTATGGTATTCATTCAGGATATGTTGATGCCTCTACTTCCATTGTGGTGGCTTGGTATATACTATGTATCTATTTCTCTATTTCTCTTCAGATATTATTTCTCTGAGATTCTCATCCTTTATGACACCTGTTCTAAAGACATTTTTTCTCTTATCATCCAAGACGCTGAAGATTTAAATTGATTCTTTGATGTGCTATCAGCCATTATGAATATTGAATGTACCAGAAAAAAAGCATGTAATCAAATATTTGATTTATTAAAGTGAAGAAATAAACAAAGAAATTAAAAATAAATTTAAAGATTTTTTTAAGACAAGAAAAAACTTTGGATATGCTAAAATACAATTTTCTATAATACTTTCTTTTGTTTAATGTTTTTTTACTGATGCAAAACTATATCATGAAACTATCAATATAAGTTCTGAGGCACTGTATGTAAATAGTGTCTCTAATGTTCTCTCTTTTGTAGCTAAAGAGTTTTATGAATATATAACCACATTGGAATAAAATTGCATTAATGGTAGTAATTAGGATACGTAATTATGTATTTTATAAACAGCATATACAGGATGTGTTCTGATTTTTTAAGACTATAGGAGGATGAAAACAGACATAAAGCATTCAACTAGGGTTCCGTGCTGTTTGAGTACATCTGAATTTGAAAAGTAAAAGCTAACATGCACATGATGTTCATTGCCCACCGATGTTAATTTTTTTTTAAATTTTTAGTTGTATTTTCCTTGTATTGTAAATTTCACTGTTGAATAATAGTGTTTACAGAGAATTTTTATGCACTGTCATAGAACAGAATTCCTGACAGAACAGAATAAATTGCAGTATGAAATAGAAAACTCTTAATTCCCATCAGTATATAGCTGGACAAGATAAGGCTGGACAATTCAAGTGACTTATTCAAAGGAACCGTCTACAACTAGTTACAAGGAGAGTCTTTACTGAAACACATGACTCCTGACTTTCAGCTTAATGAGCTCTTTATGTATAATTCAGTCTTATCTGTAATTAGAAATAGCCCAGAGGATCTCTCTAAAACAATATCTGATCCTAACCTTTTTATTATATTGTGTTTCTATCTGTGCTTCCTGATCATTATAGATCTTTAAACACCCCCTATAGCTTAGAACATCTCAATTTGAAGCCTTCAGGTTTTATTGGCAACTTTTCCTTATGAAGAATGAAAGCAGGGCAAACTCAAAAGACCACTTTTAGAAGAAAAGGGGAGCTTAGCAAGTTTTCCAAATCACTCAACAAACAGAGCCTTTCTCTAAAGCAGTGGCACATCTGTGGTCTTTCGGTAGGTGAATGCTTCCTGGATGCAGCAGATTACTTCCTCTTAACCTCTACTATCCAGAACCCTAACTCCTTCCAAAGAATATTACCACAGGGTTTCCGTATTCCTTCCTTATAGTCCACCACTCCATATTTTCCTCTTTAACAAATGACTATCGGTCCTACATTATAGGAAGTATGGTACCTGCTATTAATTGTTCAACATAAAGCAGGAACAAACAGTCATTTTGTTCATATGGGGAACACAACTTTTTAAAAAATATTGTAAAAATGGAATACACTATTGCTAATTGAAGTTAGAAAGGATAGGCTAGAAACTGTTGGGACTTTATCACCAGCCTGGGATAGATACTAAGGTCCAGACCCAGGTTTAGATGCCATAATTAGGCCCTGCCTATCCAGATGAACACTATCTGAGAGAAAGAGTAACAGCAGATGTAGCAGTATATCAGCAAGCATCAGAGAGATTTAATGGAGAACGTAGGTATGTTCCAACAGGTGGAAAGAGCTCATCGATGAGTACATGTGTTTAGAAATACAAGATGACTGGACCAATAATATCTACAAAAAAGGCAGTGGAGTTTAGTTATAGCTTGAGGTTTACAGCTGAATACATCTTTGGAGAAGACTGAAAAAGGAAGGACAGACCTAGTCATAATACAGGAGCACATGTATCAGAAGTGAGTTACAGGGCAGGGGCCTGGTTTAAAAAATGAGGCAAATTCCTGGCTATGTAAATTGGGATGTCAGTCTAAAATGTCAACACTCAGCCTCTTCCACAGAGAGTTAGGACTGGTCCTAGAACTGGAACCACCAAGGTTGAGACAGGAGTCACACAGTGAGGGGACTCATAGAAGGCTTGACTTTAGCATAAGAGTTTGATCACATTTCCAAAACCACATGCACTATTACGATATGCAAATGCATTTGCTATTATAATATCATTTGGTATTAAAGAAGTGAGATGACAATTGAAAATAAAATGCTTATCATTTTTTTCTGAATTGAATTAACTGTTCTCTTTGTAGTCTACCCAAATTTATTTTGTCTTCTGCAACCATATATGCACTAAAATGTAGTCAGCAGTTAGGAAATATTCATTGATTAGGATTTAAATTTAGTTATTAGATTACTCAAGATAAAATAAATTATTTCAAAGGTGACTATTATTGCTCTGGGATTGGAGATTCAGGAGAATAGCACTTTGCTACTTTTTAGTTCTTAGACTGAACTTAGATTAAATATATCCAGGACCCATTTCTTCATCTTTCAGATGTTAAAATGAATAGTAAGATTTTAGGTGTTCTTCCTGCAGTCATGTTCTATATACCTACAAACCTATAAAGACAAAATTCATTGGTGTTTCTGGTGTTTTCTTTATTATGACAATATTTTAAAAATCGTCTCTATCTTCTCTTAATTGGTTTAGCTTCATATGTTCATCCTTTATAGCCTCTCTGACTATAGGAAAGTAAATACCATTCTCTACACCTTCCAAGAACATTCATGCCTCTGTGACTTTGCATATGTAATTCTTTATGTCCACCAAGCCTGTCTTCACTTCATCAATCTTAAATAATAACTGTTTCTTTTTTCAGACTCAGTTCCAGGTTTGACACCACATGAAAACCTTTTCAGAAATTTATGAGCCCCAGGGTTAAATTCAATATCCCTCTTCTGATTTCCTAAAACATATTAAGCTTTCACATGACAGTAAGTTCCATAAACAATTGTTTTCTTGCCCATCTATCCAACAAACAGGGAGCACCTAGCACAGTACATTACACATGAAAGATTGGCAATAAATGTATCCTAGATGAATTAACTAATGCTTTGACAGAGGATAACTTACTGCACATTAGTTATGTGACTTGGACAAGATAGATAACCTAAGACCTCAGTTTTCTCAACCAAATAAATGTGGGTAGACTACAGTCATCTTTTTTTTTCCCAAGAATAAACTCTGACCATGGATGTAAACCATTCAGCAAACAGTTGGTGCATTGTAAATGCTCAGCAGAGTGGCTACTGTTATTTGTTAGGTTTTTTAAAATTCCCTTATCTGAATTTGTGAAATTTGATTACGGTGTTAAAGTAGCTCAGTAATTTACTGACACAGCAATTGTCACAGTTAAAGAGTGTGAGATAGTATATGTATGATATTAAACATAAAATATATTTTTTACACCTGAATGTGTTGGAAAAAAACTCTCTCTAGAGAAATGTATTTCAATTGATTCTCCTGTAACATTTTAAAGTCAAGGACTCCTTCCATCTTTATCTATGCTAGGAAGACTTTCTTTGCTCTCAGTAATGGAGTTAACCAGACAGCAGACCAAACCTTCCTCCAATTATGGCTGTTTGAAGCTATTGGCCAGCCAGGACAATGAAGTCAGGGCCCAAAAGAGAACAGAACAGACCTTGAAGCCCTGACATGGGAAGCTGGCTTAAGAGGTGCCCATGTATCCTAAATGTATTTGATTGTTGTGTTGCACAGAGAACCAATGTTTCTAAATACATCTATAGGCGATATCAGGAACAAACCTGAGCTAAGGGAGGGCAGAAATCAAGCCCTCCCATAAGAGTTACAGAGACTGGAACATTAGTACAAATGCAGACCTGAACACCATATGGATAAATATTTTAAAATTATAAATCAAGCTAACCAACTGTGTAATACAATGTATTCAAACCTCCTATCTTGACAAATGTCCCTTTATATAAGTCTCTAGAAGGCCAACTTTAAATTTAGAATTCTCAGATCATGGGGGTGGAGCTGGCTCCAATTGCTGGCTGCACTCTCCCCTTTCTTTCCACCCCTGGCTTCTCTCCATACAACAGGAGACATATGCATAGGCATACAGACACCTAGGTTTATTCATTCAATTTCTTTCCACATCCTCCTCCCAGGACCTTACAAAGAGCTGCTCTTGCCCACCTTGACTACTGATATGAGCACATAGTAGTGAGGAGGCCTACACACTCTAGAAGGTTGCACGCCATCTCCAGAGTCCCTGATAGCCAGAGTGTTGTCTAAAAGGGCGGTAAGACCACTGTATGGGCACATCCTGTTGGCTGCAAGACTCCTACCCCATTGACTGGGTCACAGTCAAAGGAGAGCCTCAGCAGGTTCACCCAAAAGATGAGCTCATGCAGGAGCTCCAGTTCTCCATATCTCAGGACAATGGAATCATCACTTACCAGTACTATGATAGAAAAAAGCAAATACAATACAGCTTAAGAAACTCTCAGGTTTCTAGCTCATGAATGCATGTGAGTGAGTGAAAGAGAAAGAGCAAACAAAAAAATAAAATAAGCGCACGTCATGGGGTTCCCAGCCATATGTAGTTTTGCTGCCTACATTCTCATTTTCTTTTATATTCTTTCAATTTTTTATTACCCTTCTTTGGAGCACAAAAACATATGAAAATAAAAATACAACCTTCGAAATTTGTCTGTTATTTTAATTTCATGAAAAAAAAAAAGCTTTCCTGAGATTGAGAGGTTTTCTTGGGACCTGTGATTTTCAGTGCTAAAACCAGTAAAATCTCACGGAAACTGGGATATGTCTATCACCCTACTTTTAAAATGTTAGGAAGGGTTCCAAGAATTATTTTACTAAAAAGTCTTAGGCAATGGGAAGGACACATAAATAGATTTGGAAATACTTGATTTCTAGTCTGAAACTTACTACTAATTAGCTCTATGAATTTAAGCCTCTTTAGTGGGGTTCTACTTATAAAATGAATAATTCAATTTTCTTCAAGATCTAAGATTTAGTATTCCATAAAGTATTGATGATCTTTACTTAGAAGACAGATATTTTTCATCAATGGCAAACAACAATAATCATGAGAATGACATATTTAAATAGGAATATACAAATATTTGGAACTATACCACTTTCACAAATAATACATGGAAAAACTCCTTCACACAGGAATGGGTTGTGTAATGTGTATGGACAGATTGCAAAATATGGTGCATGTTTTACTTCAATCTAATGTAATGGTTATATTTTTCAGCTTATAAAATTATATCTCAATATCAAATAGCCAACACTAAAGACAAGTCACAGCTTCCTTGCCCATAGCCTCATTTTCTTTTATTATCTTTGAATTTATCTTTATTTTCCTGCTTCAGAGCAGTAAAACAAATGACAATGAAAATACAACCCTTAAATATTTTTCTGTTATTTTAATTTTATGAAAAAATAAAGTAAGCCACGACAAAGGTCTGTAGAGAGGGATGAAGGAAGATAAAACACCTGTTTGGACTAGCAATTGCTCACCTGGATTAGGATTTCTCAACCAGCAAGCCCCAGGGACACCAGGTTTTAGTACCTTATATTTTACTCCTAAATTGTGGAACTAAGCTGACAGATGGATCTAATATTTGGCATCTGGAATCAAGACCTTTGGTCACTGTCTTATTCTTATGACGGCAATGTATGCTTCTAGACCAGTTCCTTTTTATAATTTTTAGCCTGGACTTGGCCTATAGCCTTGTACTTTCTCAGGTTGTTAAGAGTGTATTCCTTAATGATAGACAAATCTGGAAGAGTGCTTAGGGGCACTAACTAACTGATCCCTGAAAGTGGCATCATGCATCTCACTTACATCGTCTGAGGTTCCCAATGGGAGTTTTCATGACAGCTCAACGTTCAAAAGAAGAAATGCCCAAGGAGTTTTAAAGTACATCTGTCTATTTATAACAATCCCCCTCCATCCTTGACCTGTTTCTTTCCCTACGTTGGTAGCATTCTTATTCCCTTCATAGTTTTCTAATTGTGGTTGGCATACAAAATAATTAGTGTAATTATCACATTGTATCATGATTATTCGTTCCTCTGTTAATCTCTCTTGTTTGAAGGAGACATCATTCTCCAGAGCAGAGGTCATAGCTTTTCATCTTTGTGGGTTTAGCATGTAATTTAATATTTAATACATAGTATGCGCTCATTAAATGTTCATAAATTAGTGAATGTATAAAATAACAGATTACTAACACTGAGCCTTTGAGGCTTGATTATGGTAACTTAGTTCCCTTCTTATAGATTTGAGGATTTTACCTAGGGAAACTTCAATGTCAGATTAGACTCTAGAATGAACTCTGTAATGTAAACCTGTGTGTAGTCTTCTGTCCTTAAAACAGTAAGCTATTACAGAATATCAGAGATAGATATACACTGAGTTTTTTAAATCACAGTGTGATCCAAAGCATGAACTTGTGACACTAGGAGAGAAGGATATTTAGACGTTTAGAAAAAGAGCAACCCAAAATTAATACTTCTAACATAAAGCTAACAGGTCCAATTCTTCTTTACCTAGTGGAAGATAAAGCCTATGGGAAAACCAAGCTTCTAGTCACTGTACTACAAATACCCTCTGCACTTTTCATAAATGCACAATACAGACTGGAGAGAAGTGGCCTATTATTAGACTGATCGTATAGTTTATACTACAAACAGGGACAATTTTAAAGGGAAAAGGAGTCACTAGTAATATGCCAGGATAACAGGTATAAACCAGGACTTTCTCAGGCAAACTTGCATTGTTACACTATAATTGACTATATCTGTTTTTCTATATCGGTAGTTCTTAATGGGGTAGTGAAAACAGAGGAAAAGGGGTGGCTTTGCCTCTCAGAAGAGATTTGGCTATGTCTGGAGACGTTTTGTTTGTCACATGTGAAGAGAAATGCTACTGGCATCAAGTCAGTAAAGTCCAGGGATACTGCTAAACATCCTACAGTGCACACCACAGTCCCTCAGGAAAAACAAACAAGCAATAATAACAACAACAAAAACATGACCTGGCTCAAAATGCCCGTAACGCTGCTATTGAGAAGCCCTGTTCTACATCCTTTAAAACCCTCCAAGACTGGATTTTTTTGTTTGTTTGTTTTCTTTTTTCTTTTTTTTTTTTTTTTTTTTTGAGACGGAGTCTCGCTCTGTCGCCCAGGCTGGAGTGCAGTGGTGCGATCTTGGCTCACTGCAAGCTCCGCCTCCAAGTTCACGCCATTCTCCTGCCTCAGCCTCCCGAGTAGCTGGGACTACAGGTACCCTCCACTATGCCCGGTTAATTTTTTGTATTTTAGGTAGAGACGGGGTTTCACCGTGTTAGCCAGGATGGTCTCAATCTCCTGACCTTGTGATCCACCTGCCTGGGCCTCCCAAAGTGCTGGGATTACAGGCGTGATATTATTGGACTTTTTTTTTTCGGTTTTTTTTTTTTTTTTTTTTTTTTTTTTTGCCTCTTAACTAAGGATTTGGCTTTCTGAAATTTTTCTCTCTCAATCTGTCTATTTCAGACCTGGATTTGCTTCCCAACTATGCCCCTGGCAAACAGGTGAGCCCTAACACGCAGGGAAAACTTTTACATTCAGGTGTCAGGATATTTTTGTCAGAAAATGCAACTAAGGAATAGGTGGTCTTTTAAATTTTCAGTAATATTTTAAAATTCTAGATTTCATTAATTTTATTAAACTCAACTGCAAGTATTTATTGTTAATCTAGTTGAAAATGCTTTGTGTAAGAGATAATACTACTGATAATAATTTTTAGGTCATAAGATGACTTACCTCTCTTTTTTCTACCCAAGCATTCCTACACATATACCTGTCTCTTTCTCTCTCTCTCTCATACACACATAACACACACTGACTCCCTCCACAGATAAATACCTAGAAAATGGAAAAGACTAGAAATACTATTCTATTTGTGGTAGAGATACTAACTGGAACACAGACCATTAAACACCTTTTTCAACTCTTTTATTTTTGAAAGTGTGTTTAGAGGACAAATTTTAATGGTGCATTTGGCAACACAGATCCAAACTTTCTACACTTATTTTACAAATATTACAAACTAACAAATACATTGTGTAAGGTATAACTTCAATGAGACCAAAGATTTGTGTCTGTTTATTTATTTTTTTATTGCAGAATTTCTAGCATCTAGAAGAGAGCTTCGCCTGTGGTAGGCACATGACACAACGTGTTTGTTAATGTTGTTCTTGATTACCCCAAACCTATTGGCCAAAAATTCCTTAGATAACTCTTAAAAATATGTGATAGTTTGGGATTCACTGACTTTGTTAAGCCAGAATGAATCAGGTAATAGAAAGTACAATAAGTCGGCCGGGCGATGTGGCTCATGCTTTTAATCCCAGCTCTTTGGGAGGCCGAGGTAGGTAGATCACTGGAGTCCAGGAGTTCAAGACAGCCTGGACAACATGGTAAAATCCCATTTCTACCAAAAATACAAAAATTAGCCTGGATGATGGCATGTGCCTGTGGTTCCAGCTACTCAAGAGGCAGAGGCACAAGAGCTTGAACCCAGAAGGCAGAGGTTGCAGTGAGCTGAGCACTGCTTTCCGGTATGGGCAACAGAGTGAGACTCTGTTAAAAAAAAAAAAGGAATAGAAAAAAAAGTACATTAAGTAAGAAGTGTTGTGGCTAAGCAGTAAAGTTGGGTTTATGAAAATGTTTAGAACTTAAATAACAGTTTATGGTGGTCTCACTGTATTTATTTTGTTTTTGTTTTTGTTTGTATTTTATAGCTTTGGGTTAAGGTATAATTATATACTATAAACTACACTTGTTGAAAGTATAAAAAGCCTATGACTTTTAGTAAATTCCTAGAGCTTTGCAATCATTACCACAGTCTAGTTTTAGAACATTTTCATCACCCAAAAATGTTGTCTGTTGCCTATTTCTAGCTATACCCCTTTCAGCCCGTCTATAACTCTTACGTGTTTGTACAAGCTGGCTCTCCAAGCCAAAAAGGAATCACCCTCCAAAGGAAAGAGTCCTCCAAAAGAAAAACAACAACAACAACAAAAAACAGTGTATAGAACCCTAACTGCTGGTTCTTCTTCTACTTCATTTATTTATTTATTTTTGCCCTGTCACCCAGGCTGGAGTGCAGTGGCGCGATCTTCGCTCACTTCAATCCCCATCTCCTGGAGAACCCTCACTTCTGTTCCTTTTACTTTCTGTCTCACATTCATGTCAATCACAGTAACTCACCTGAGACTGGCAGAAATGGGACTGAGGAGAGCTTGTAGAGATAGCTGTAACCAGGTCTGAGACTAAGGGAAAATAATGTAATAGCTGTTTTGTTCAAGGGTACTTTTCAGGTGTGTGTGTGTGTGTGTGTGTGTGTGTGCCTTTCAAGATGAAAGGGAGTGAGAAAAAATGCTACTGTATTAGTCGGTTTTCACACTGCTATAAAGAAATTCCCCGAAACTGAATAATGGATAAATAAAAGAGGTTTAATTGACTCACAGTTCCACATGGCTGGGGAGGCCTCAGGAAACTTACAATCATGGTGGAAGGTGAAGGGGAAGCAAGGACCTTCACAAGGCAGCAGGAGAGAAAAATGAGCAAGAGTATGGAAAACTGCCTTATGAAACCATCAGATCTCATGAGAACTCATTCACTATTATGATAACAGCATGCGGGAAACTGTTCCCGTGATCAAATCACCTCCCTCCCACAACATGTAGGGATGACAGGTCCCTACCTCAACACCTGGGGATTACAATTCGAGACGCAATTTGGGTGGGGATGCAGAGTCAAACCATATCAGCTACTGACCTTAGGGAGAAATTATTCTGCAATAATCTTTATTTCTTCTTTTTTGTAAATATCTATAACCCAAAATAAGTAAATAAATGTGCTAATCCTCTTCATAGAATAACTCGGTGGTATGTTTTATGTTCACAGTGAAATGCAGATGTAGATTCCCTATTAAAAGACAAATCCTCAATTTTCAAATCAGGAATAGCTCATTACTTGAAAAAGAATTGCTGGTGATGAAATTTAAGGGATTGATAAGAGTCTAATTCAAAAATCTTAACTTGGATAGACAGGATTTTCATTTAATGAAGACTTGGATGAATGGGCAGTTATTTAAACCCTTGCCTATCTATATTTTGTTCCAAAGTAGCTTAAAAAGTTTTGATAGCTACCATGGACTCAGTAATACTGCTTCTTTTGGTTAAAATGAATGATTTCAGATATATTATTGTCACTTAAATATGACCTTGTACTCCCAGATAGGGTTCCAGTGAATAATTGCGCAAGCAAGCAATATTGGTATTTTTCTAAACTGTTTACCTTCTTCATTTATCAAGCCTGGTCTTCTTGTTTTTATTCCTTTGACTGCTTTTCCCATTCTCCTCTCTGAAACCGTTATCTTTGGGGCATGACAAATGTGCTTTGGTAAATCTGAACTGGCTAATTACACTAACAGAAAATTGCCCCATCGAATGTCAACATGTTCAACTATAGAAGCTCCAGTGAAAACCATAACTCAGTACAACGCTGTGGTAATTTATTTCCTGTAAAACTGGAGTTGTCTTTTGTAAAACTGATGATTAAAACACCTTTAGGGCATTGGAACATACTGTTTCATCAGAAATCTTTCTAACAATATTGGTGATTTTCATTAATGCAATTGTCTTCAGACCTAGAGATTAGCTGAGTTGTCCCCCTCTATATTTTAAACCTCGCTCATGTTCTTAGCAGGGTTGCAGCTCATTCTTTTTCTTTGTTTTGTTTCATTTTCTTATGTTTCTGTTTTGTCAACATTAATTTTTGCTAGTTCCATCTCATTTTCATTTTACAAGAATGGCATGTCACCTTGCTACCTCCTGACAAAATCACTTACAAAAGGATGCTTAAATAAAAAAAGAATAGGCCGGGAGCGGTGGCTCATGCCTGTAATCCCAGCACTTTGGTAGGCCGAGGCGGGCAAATCACGAGGTCGGGAGTTCGAGACCAGCCTGGCCAGCATGGTGAAACCCTGACTCTACTAAAAATACAAAAAATTAGCTGGGCATGGTGGCACCCACCTGTAATCCCAGCTACTCGGGAGCCTGAGGCAGGAGAATCGCTTGAACCTGAGAGGTGGAGGTTGCAGTGAGCCGAGATCGTGCCACTGCACTCCAGCCTGGGTGACAGAGCGAGACTCTGTCTCTAAATAAATAAAAGAATAAAAATAAATAAAAGAATAAAACTATATGTGTGAAAAGCTGAAGTTTCCTGAAATTTTATATACAGTAAGAAAGCCAAGAAAACACATTTTTCCAAGTGGAAAAGGCTTAGAAAAGTTATAGTCCATCTATTCAATGGAATATTAAATAGCCATTTCAGCCAAACAGAAAATATTTATGTGTATTGTTAAGTTAAAAAAAGAGGGTGTGAATACATGTGTTTCCAAAAAGTAAAAATGTTACTACCAATCCATAGATACTGACAAGGAATATATAAAATAACATTTTTACGTAAGGTTTTAAAATTTTGTTCCACTTTCAGACTGATTTTTAATTGATTTTATAATCACAAAATTACAATCCAGATTTATCAGTGCATTGGATTGTTATACATGAGTTTCAAGGAACAGATAGTACTAAACAATATTTTTTTCTATACTTAGAAGTTTTAAATTTTATCAGAATAAAAAAAGTAATTGCCTGGCTGCTACAATCACAGACAGGCTAAAACTCATCCATAGTCTTTAAAATTCATTTTAATTAGTTAAGGAGCTGAACTTTCTTCTTATCGTACTTATTTCTCTCCCTTGTTCAGTTTTTTTTTTTTTTTTTTTTTTAATGGAATGTCACGCTTGTTGCCCAGGCTGGAGTGCAGTGGTTCAATCTTGGCTCACTGCAACCTCTGCCTCCCAGGTTCAAGTGATTCTCCTGCCTCAGCCTCCCAAGGAGCTGGGATTACAGGTACACGCCACCATGCCTGACTAATTTTTGTATTTTTAGTAGAGAGAGGGTTTCACCATGTTGGCCAGGTGGGTCTCGAACTCCTAACCTCAGGTGATCCACCCACCTCGGCCTCCCAAAGTGCTGGGATTACAGGCGTGAGCCCCCACGCCCAGCCTGTTCAATTTTTTTTTAAATAGATGCATAATAATTGTACATATTTATGGAGTACATGATATGTTTTGATACATGCATACAATGGCAATGATTCAATCAGGGTATTTAGAATACTACCTCAAACATTAACAATTTATTTGTGTTGGTAATATTTCACATCTTTTCTCCTAGTTATTTTGAAATATACAGTGAATTATTATTAACTATGGTAATACTACCGTGCTACCAATCACTAGTACTTATTCTTTCTACCTAACTCTGTATTTATACTCATTAACCAACCTCTCTTCATTCTCTTTTTTATGTCCTTTCTTTCACCCAACTTTTCCCATTCTATAAATTCCCGTTCTCGGGTGACCACATGACTGATAACTTTAAATGCCTGCTCTATAACATTCTTCTAAGGTTATTACCTATGAAATCCCAGACAGTTTAAACCACCTATTTCCTCTTACTCACTCTTCACTTTTCCCCCTCTGCTCTAATCTATAGCACAGCTGCTATAATAAACAGCAAGTGAAAAACATCAAGACAGGTTGAGAAATGGGCTGCAGAAGGAAGAAAAATAACTTCACACTGTAGCACCTTTAATGGTGCCGCTTTCCTGCTTTCTGAATAAGAGGCTCTGCTTTTCATTTTGCTCCAATCTTCACAAATTACATGGGATGCCTTGCTTGCCCCTAACCATCTTCCTCATCTCTATTTGTTTGGCGTACCATACCTTGCCTGTCTTAGTATTCTTCTCATTTTTCTAGTCTAAAATTCAGACTTACCCCAACTCAATATCATCCTTTTTCCCATCTCAGGGATGAGTTCTTTCTGCCTCTCTGCCCTTGCAAATTCACAGGGTATTCGGTAGTCTCTCCACTTCCTTAGTACTCTGAGTTTGCTCACCGATCTCATCATATTATATTCTTGTAGTACATTTATTTCCCTCTCTAGTTTAATTGTAAATACACAGAAGTCAAGATCAAACTTCAGTCCCACTTTTTCTCTAGTAAGTAGGTACTCAGTGATGCATAATAATGAATATGCAAGCAGGACGCATAAAGAGAATGAAATGCATAGTTTTAAGGCAGGAAGAATGACAATGACATAGACATGTGATAGGCAAGTTTGCTCATGAGGAGCATAGTAGACATCTAGTTAAAGTTACTGACAAAACAAAAGTTCTAAAGTCTTTCCAGCTTCCTAAGGTTGCAAAGAGATCAGGGACGGAAGAAACCAAGACTTGAAGTCAATGATCACTTATTAACACCTGCTTTGTGCATAGCTTCCTGTGGAGCAGGTTTTCTCAACCTTGGTACAAGACTATTGCAATTTTGGACTTTCCTTAAGTATACACACACACACGCACACTTCATATATATATATATATATATATATATATGAACTCTTTGTGATGGGGGGACAGTCTTGTGCACTGCCAAGCGTATGTGTTTGGCAGCTTCCATGTCTATGACCTCTATCATCCAGATGCCAGTAGAACACTCCCCCTCAGTCATGATAATAAAAAATGTCTTCAGACATTACTAAATAGTTTTTGGAGAGAAAATTTGCCCCAAATTGAGAATCACTGGTGTGGAGGACTACTAGCTTGATGACAGTATTATTTTCCACCACAGATAATAACCCTCCAACCTACTGTGTTAGGAGGAGGATAAAGCAGGATGAAAAATTAGATACAGTTGCCAGTTATTCTGGCTTTTGTTTCAAAAACCTTAATCATGGGATGGAAAAACAATTTGTCATCGGAGAAGAAATAAACTGGCACACAGTAAGAGAGAGAATCCAGAGGCATGGCTATAATATCAGGCAGAAACATGAAAGAAGAGGCCTGGCGCAGTGGCTCATGCCTGTAATCCCAGAACTTTTGGAGGCCGAGGCGGGTGGATCAGCTGAGGTCAGGAGTTGAAGAACAGCCTGGCCAATATGGTAAAACCCCATCTCTACTAAGAATACAAAAATTAGCCAGGCATGGTGGTGCACACCTGTGGTCCCAGGTACTCAGGAGGCTGAGGCAGGAGAATTGCTTGAACCTGGGAGGCGGAGGTTGCAGTGAGCCGAGATCATGCCACCACATTCCAAATTGGGCAACAGAGAAAGACTCCACTTCAAAAACCAATTAAAAAAAAGAAAAAAAAAAAAAAAGAAAGTTTAACCTGCAGTGAAAAAGAGGTTCTTGGGGGCAGATGAGATATGACAGATGGGGATGGTTCTAGAACAGAGGAAATACCATGTATTGGCACTGTCCTGGAAAGTAGGCAACAACAGAACAGGTATGGTTGGCCTATGCAGATAGGACCATGCAATGCTTATAGACAGAATTTTAAGAAATAAATAACTCACAGGGACAGCAGGGGAGCTAGAATGAAGGAGCACAGTGTAGTGGAGAATATGAGCATTTCAGCCTCTCCCTCTGTAACCCAAAATCGGAAGACTAGATAGCTTCCTCTGCCCACCCTACATCACTCTGGCATCTCCTAAAATGCTAGATGTGTAGCTAACACCATTGCTTGAGAGGGAACACAAGGAAGACTAAACATCCAGCAGCAGAACAGGGTTTCCAGTGAGAAACTAAGTAATATTGAAATATGTACATGTACATGGACTTAAAAAAAGACATTGAGTGTGTTTACTGAAATTTGAATTTGTTATTTCTTTTTTTTTTTATACTTTAAGTTTTAGGGTACATGTGCACATTGTGCAGGTTAGTTACATATGTATACACGTGCCATGCTGGTGCGCTGCACCCACTAACTCGTCATCTAGCATTAGGTATATCTCCCAATGGTATCCCTCCCCCCTCCCCCCACCCCACAACAGTCCCCAGAGTGTGATGTTCCCCTTCCTGTGTCCATGTGATCTCATTGTTCAATTCCCACCTATGAGGGAGAATATGCAGTGTTTGGTTTTTTGTTCTTGCGATAGTTTACTGAGAATGATGATTTCCAATTTCATCCATGTCCCTACAAAGGATATGAACTCATCATTTTTTATGGCTGCATAGTATTCCATGGTGTATATGTGCCAAATTTTCTTAATCCAGTCTATCATTGTTGGACATTTGGGTTGGTTCCAAGTCTTTGCTATTGTGAATAATGCCGCAATAAACATACGTGTGCATGTGTCTTTATAGCAGCATGATTTATAGTCCTTTGGGTATATACCCAGTAATGGGATGGCTGGCTCAAATGGTATTTCTAGTTCTAGATCCTTGAGGAATCGCCACAACTGACTTCCACAATGGTTGAACTAGTTTACAGTCCCACCAACAGTGTAAAAGTGTTCCTATTTCTCCACATCCTCTCCAGCACCTGTTGTTTCCTGACTTTTTAATTATTGCCATTCTAACTGGTGTGAGATGGTATCTCATTGTGGTTTTGATTTGCATTTCTCTGATGACCAGTGATGATGAACATTTTTTCATGTGTTTTTTGGCTGCATAAATGTCTTCTTTTGAGAAGCGTCTGTTCATGTCCTTCACCCACTTTTTGATGGGGTTGTTTGTTTTTTTCTTGTAAATTTGTTTGAGTTCATTGTAGATTCTGGATATTAGCCCTTTGTCAGATGAGTAGGTTGTGAAAATTTTCTCCCATTTTGTAGGTTGCCTGTTCACTCTGATGGTAGTTTCTTTTGCTGTGCAGAAGCTCTTTAGTTTAATTAGATCCCATTTGTCAATTTTCTCTTTTGTTGCCATTGATTTTGGTGTTTTAGACATGAAGTCCTTGCCCATGCCTATGTCCTGAATGGTAATGCCTAGGTTTTCTTCTAGGGTTTTTATGGTTTTAGGTCTAACATTTAAGTCTTTAATCCATCTTGAATTGATTTTTGTATAAGGTGTAAGGAAGGGATCCAGTTTCAGCTTTCTACATATGGCCAGCCAGTTTTCCCAGCACCATTTATTAAATAGGGAAGCCTTTCCCCATTGCTTGTTTTTCTCAGGTTTGTCAAAGATCAGATAGTTGTATATATGCGGCGTTATTTCTGAGGGCTCTGTTCTGTTCCATTGATCTATATCTCTGTTGTGGTACCAGTACCATGCTGTTTTGGTTACTGTAGCCTTGTAGTATAGTTTGAAGTCAGGTAGAGTGATGCCTCCAGCTTTGTTCTTTTGGCTTAGGATTGATTTGGTGATGCGGGCTCTTTTTTGGTTCCATATGAACTTTAAAGTAGTTTTTTCCAATTCTGTGAAGAAATTCATTGGTAGCTTGATGGGGATGGCACTGAATCTATAAATTACCTTGGGCAGTATGGCCATTTTCATGATATTGATTCTTCCTACCCATGAGCATGGAATGTTCTTCCATTTGTTTGTATCCTCTTTTATTTCCTTGAGCAGTGGATTGTAGTTCTCCTTGAAGAGGTCCTTCACTTCCCTTGTAAGTTGGATTCCTAGGTATTTTATTCTCTTTGAAGCAATTGTGAATGGGAGTTCACTCATGATTTGGCTCTCTGTTTGTCTGTTGTTGGTGTATAAGAATGCTTGTGATTTTTGTACATTGATTTTGTATCCTGAGACTTTGCTGAAGTTGCTTATCAGCTTAAGGAGATTTTGGGCTGAGACAATGGGGTTTTCTAGATATACAATCATGTCGTCTGCAAACAGGGACAATTTCACTTCCTCTTTTCCTAATTGAATACCCTTTATTTCCTTCTCCTGCCTAATTGCCCTGGCCAGAACTTCCAACACTATGTTGAATAGGAGTGGTGAGAGAGGGCATCCCTGTCTTGTGCCAGTTTTCAAAGGGAATGCTTCCAGTTTTTGCCCATTCAGTATGATATTGGCTGTGGGTTTGTCATAGATAGCTCTTATTATTTTGAAATACGTCCCATCAATACCTAATTTGTTGAGAGTTTTTAGCATGAAGGGTTGTTGAATTTTGTCAAAGGCCTTTTCTGCATCTATTGAGATAATCATGTGGTTTTTGTCTTTGGCTCTGTTTATATGCTGGATTACATGTATTGATTTGCGTATATTGAACCAGCCTTGCATCCCAGGGATAAAGCCCACTTGATCATGGTGGATAAGCTTTTTGATGTGCTGCTGGATTCGTTTTGCCACTATTTTATTGAGGATTTTTGTATCAATGTTCCTCAGGGATATTGGTCTAAAATTCTCTTTTTTGGTTGTGTCTCTGCCCGGCTTTGGTATCAGAATGATGCTGGCCTCATAAAATGAGTTAGGGAGGATTCCTTCTTTTTCTATTGATTGGAATAGTTTCAGAAGGAATGGTACCAGTTCCTCCTTGTACCTCTGGTAGAATTTGGCTGTGAATCCATCTGGTCCTGGACTCTTTTTGGTTGGTAAGCTATTGATTATTGCCACAATTTCAGATCCTGTTATTGGTCTATTCAGAGATTCAACTTCTTCCTGGTTTAGTCTTGGGAGAGTGTATGTGTCCAGGAATTTATCCATTTCTTCTAGATTTTCTAGTTTATTTGCGTAGAGGTGTTTGTAGTATTCTCTGATGGTAGTTTGTATTTCTGTGGGATCGGTGGTGATATCCCCTTTACCATTTTTTATTGCGTCTATTTGATTATTCTCTCTTTTTTTCTTTATTAGCCTTGCTAGCAGTCTATCTATTTTGTTGATCCTTTCAAAAAACCAGCTCCTGGATTCATTAATTTTTTGAAGGGTTTTTTGTGTCTCTATTTCCTTCAGTTCTGCTCTGATTTTAGTTATTTCTTGCCTTCTGCTAGCTTTTGAATGTGTTTGCTCTTGCTTTTCTAGTTCTTTTAATTGTGATGTTAGGTTGTCAATTTTGGATCTTTCCTGCTTTCTCTTGTGGGTATTTAGTGCTATAAATTTCCCTCTACACACTGCTTTGAATGCGTCCCAGAGACTCTGGTATGTTGTGTCTTTGTTCTCGTTGGTTTCAAAGAACATCTTTATTTCTGCCTTCATTTCGTTCGGTACCCAGTAGTCGTTCAGGAGCAGGTTGTTCAGTTTCCATGTAGTTGAGCAGTTTTGAGTGAGATTCGTAATTCTGAGTTCTAGTTTGATTGCACTGTGGTCTGAGAGATAGTTTGTTATAGTTTCTGTTCTTTTACATTTGCTGAGGAGAGCTTTACTTCCAAGTATGTGGTCAATTTTGGAATAGGTGTGGTGTGGTGCTGAAAAAAATGTACATTCTGTTGATTTGGGGTGGAGAGTTCTGTAGATGTCTATTAGGTCTGCTTGGTGCAGAGCTGAGTTCAATTGCTGGGTATCCTTGTTGACTTTCTGTCTCGTTGATCTGTCTAATGTTGACAGTGGGGTGTTAAAGTCTCCCATTATTAATGTGCGGGAGTCTAAGTCTCTTTGTAGGTCACTCAGGACTTGCTTTATGAATCTGGGTGCTCCTGTATTGGGTGCATATATATTTAGGATAGTTAGCTCTTCTTGTTGAATTGATCCCTTTACCATTATGTAATGGTCTTCTTTGTCTCTTTTGATCTTTGTTGGTTTAAAGTCTGTTTTATCAGAGACTAGGATTGCAATCCCTGCCTTTTTTTGTTTTCCATTTGCTTGGTAGATCTTCCTCCATCCTTTTATTTTGAGCCTATGTGTGTCTCTGCACGTGAGATGGGTTTCCTGAATACAGCACACTGATGGGTCTTGAGTCTTTATCCAATTTGGCAGTCTGTGTCTTTTAATTGGAGCATTTAGTCCATTTACATTTAAAGTTAATATTGTTATGTGTGAATTTGATCCTGTCATTATGATGTTAGCTGGTTATTTTGCTCGTTAGTTGATGCAGTTTCTTCCTAGTCTCGATGGTCTTTACATTTTGGCATGATTTTGCAGTGGCTGGTACCAGTTGTTCCTTTCCACGTTTAGTGCTTCCTTCAGGAGCTCTTTTAGGGCAGGCCTGGTGGTGACAAAATCTCTCAGCATTTGCTTGTCTGTAAAGTATTTTATTTCTCCTTCACTTATGAAACTTAGTTTGGCTGGATATGAAATTCTGGGTTGAAAATTCTTTTCTTTAAGAATGTTGAATATTGGCCCCCACTCTCTTCTGGCTTGTAGGGTTTCTGCCGAGAGATCCGCTGTTAGTCTGATGGGCTTCCCTTTGAGGGTAACCCGACCTTTCTCTCTGGCTGCCCTTAACATTTTTTCCTTCATTTCAACTTTGGTGAATCTGACAATTATGTGTCTTGGAGTTGCTCTTCTCGAGGAGTATCTTTGTAGCGTTCTCTGTATTTCCTGAATCTGAATGTTGACCTGCCTTGCTAGATTGGGGAAGTTCTCCTGGATAATATCCTGCAGAGTGTTTTCCAACTTGGTTCCATTCTCCCCGTCACTTTCAGGTACACCAATCAGATGTAGATTTGGTCTTTTCACATAGTCCCATATTTCTTGGAGGCTTTGCTTGTTTCTTTTTATTCTTTTTTCTCTAAACTTCCCTTCTCGCTTCATTTTCTTCATTTCATCTTCCATTGCTGATACCCTTTCTTCCAGTTGATCGCATCGTCTCCTGAGGCTTCTGCATTCTTCACATAGTTCTCGAGCCTTGGTTTTCAGCTCCATCAGCTCCTTTAAGCACTTCTATGTATTGGTTATTCTACTTATACATTCTTCTAAATTTTTTTCAAAGTTTTCAACTTCTTTGCCTTTGGTTTGAATGTCCTCCCGTAGCTCAGAGTAATTTGATCGTCTGAAGCCTTCTTCTCTCAGCTCGTCAAAGTCATTCTCCGTCCAGCTTTTTTCCGTTGCTGGTGAGGAACTGTGTTCCTTTGGAAGAGGAGAGGCGCTCTGCTTTTTAGAGTTTCCAGCTTTTCTGTTCTGTTTTTTCCCCATCTTTGTGGTTTTATCTACTTTTGGTCTTTGATGATGGTGATGTACAGATGGGTTTTTGGTGTGGATGTCCTTTCTGTTTGTTAGTTTTCCTTCTAACAGACAGGACCCTCAGCTGCAGGTCTGTTGGAGTACCCTGCCATGTGAGGTGTCAGTGTGCCCCTGCTGGGGGGTGCCTCCCAGTTAGGCTGCTCGGGGGTCAGGGGTCAGGGACCCACTTGAGGAGGCAGTCTGCCCATTCTCAGATCTCCAGCTGTGTGCTGGGAGAACCACTGCTCTCTTCAAAGCTGTCAGACAGGGACATTTAAGTCTGCAGAAGTTACTGCTGTCTTTTTGTTTGTCTGTGCCCTGCCCCCAGAGGTGGAGCCTACAGAGGCAGGCAGGCCTCCTTGAGCTGTGGTGGGCTCCACCCAGTTGGAGCTTCCTGGCTGCTTTGTTTACCTAAGCACGCCTGGGCAATGGTGGGCGCCCCTCCCCCAGCCTCGCTGCCGCCTTGCAGTTTGATCTCAGGCTGCTGTGCTAGCAATCAGTGAGACTCCGTGGGCATACGACCCTCCGAGCCAGGTACCGGATATAATCTCTTGGTGTGCCATTTTTTAAGCCCGTCGGAAAAGCGCAGTATTCGGGTGGGAGCGACCCGATTTTCCAGGTGCCATCCGTCACCCCTTTCTTTGACTAGGAAAGGGAACTCCCTGACCCCTTGTGCTTCCTTAGTGAGGCAATGCCTCGCCCTGCTTCAGCTGGTGCACGGTGCACGGACCCACTGACCTGCGCCCACTGTCTGGCACTCCCTAGTGAGATGAACCCGGTACCTCAGATGGAAATGCAGAAATCACCCGTCTTCTGCATCACTCACGCTGGGAGCTGTAGACCGGAGCTGTTCCTATTCGGCCATCTTGGCTCCTCTGAATTTGTTATTTCTTAGCTCACTTACGTGACAACTTCTCAGGTGTGTTTTATTGTGTCCACTTTACAGAGAAGTAAACTGAATCTCAGCAAGAATAAACGATTCATTCAAGATCAGTAGCTTTCATCAAAATAGCAAATAATTTTGTGTTCATTTTGTTAACATAAATTAAAATGAAGACCAGGCCTGAAGAATCCTTGAGTAGACAAAGGCAGTTATGCCTCATTAGTGACCTTAACCTTGCTGGATTTAGAAGCATAAACAAAACTTAATTTGAGTTATTTCTTGTAAATGCCTATATTAAGGAAAAACAGAACTTTAGCTCAATGAATCAGAAGCATCCAACTGACTTATACAACTAGGGACTTTGCATAGGCTAGACCAAATAAGGCGACTGTATAACTGTAACCAATCGAATTCTTTCTTTGCTTTACTTTTGCGTCTATCCTATAAAAGTTCCTTTGTGTTCTCTCTATGGAGCTCTTGAACCACTTCTGGTTTGGAGCTGCCCAATTCATGAATCACTATTCACTCAAATAGATGTTACATGTTTATTGTGCCTCAGTTTGCTTTTTAACGATATGCAGCAACAGCTTTGCTGGATGAAAGTACAATGATGGGCCAACCCAGAAAGCAGCCCTCCCCTTTTGGAGAAATTAAATAATGACACAATTAACAGTAAATGGCAAAAGTAACAGGTGCTATAAAGTACAGAGTGCCAAAATAGCCCATAATGTGGAAATGGTGTTGCAGAGAAGGTTTTCTCTATGAATGGATAAGTTAACATGACCCAGGGAAGGAATTCTCACATGCTGTGAGCATCATAATCACTTGGAGGGGTGGCTGAAACACAAATTGTTGAGCCCCATTCCTGGAGTTTCTAATAAATAGGTCTGGGATGGGGCCTGAAAATTCACGTCAATAACAAATTCCCATATGATCAATTGCTATTAATCCTACTAGTCTGGGAAGCACATTTTGAGACCCTCTAAACAATCTAAGCAAAGCAAAGCATATGGAAGTGGCCTTGTGGGAAGAGGACTCAAGGACATTCTGTGTCCATCCCATACTGGAATGCCCTGCCTTTTTTTGCAGATGTAGAATCTACAGGTGAGGGTTCAGTGACTGGCCTTAGCTGCTTCTGGTAAATGGCAGACTAGGGACCTACACCCAGGTTGTATAACTTTTAGCCAGACAATCTCTTTCCTTCCAGTGTTCCAAGACACCCTGTCATCTCCCACTCTGGCATGCACAGACTACTTCCATGGCTGTGATCTAGTGAAAGGTAAATAGCAGTCTTATTACCTGAAAAAACATGAACCAGCTCTACTGGGTGTATCTTGTCTTTGGTTGAGAGAATGCTGACTATTTCAAGCAACACTTCAGGATATTCTTTCTCTTCTTTGTGATAGAGGACTCAGTCTTACTGAAAACACATTTCTTTTCTCAAGAGTGTCCTTGAACTAATACAGCAGAAACTCTGACTCCAGTGGGGCTTTCTGATGTGCTTTTGAAGAGAGTAAATTTACTAATCAATACAAATTACAATTTCTCAACTGGCAACTAGGCAAGCCAAGCACAGCCTCTGCAGCTTTATTATTCATAGCCTGAACTCTCAGGACTAGATGTGCAGAGAGAAACCACAGAGAGAGATGCTATGTAAATACATCAAACAAAGGAAGAGATTGTTTTAGAGAGACTTGACACAGGAATATTTACATGACCAGGAATAAAATGTCCATTCTTAAGTGCTACCTTGACTTAAACAACTTTAGAGAGATCTATTAAACCTTATGCTTTAGAGTATGGGCTAATAACCTCTCATAGACAGGAAAGTAATTTTTTTCTCTGTCCCTTACACACTCCCTGTACACATACACATGTGCACAATTTATATATGTATTAAGATACACAATTATCAATTATATATGCATATACACAGACACAAGTATAAAGACACACAATTAGGAATTATACATATACGTGCACAACACACACATGTATGTACTGAACAAGAGAGAAACAGAGAAAAGCACAGAGACAGGCATGCAGGGATGTAGTGAGAATTGTACTATCACAAGAGTTTACATTTCAGTTCTTGCATTCAGCTGCTATGTAACTCTAAAGGAAATGATTACCTGTTCTAGAACTCAGTTTTTCCATCTGGCAAAGTAAGGGGGTTGGATATAATATTTAAAGTTTTTCAAGATAGAAGACTAAAAAACTGCATAGGGATGAATTTCATCTTCGAAAATTTCCTCTCCTGCATAATAAGATTGAAAACTCTTTTTTCCACATTTTTTAAAAACCCATGTCACTTTTTAATTAAAATGAAAATCTTGCAATATCCTTTAGATTTATTTAAAAATTTAAAATAACTCAAAGGTGACAGGAACAAGTTAAATCAATGATAATTTTAGAGGAAGGTTCTATTTTGAAATACATAGATCATATTCTTTCCAGTTATGTAATATCACTAACAGTGTGGAACATGCTTACTAGCTGAAGCTTTGGAAGCTCAAATACTATCTAGGTCACTGTCAAAGTCATAACTCTTGGCCTGCTTTGTTTTCAAACAAAGCCTCTCCAACTCTCCTTAGCTCTCCCTCGTCATTGCAATAGTCCCTGATAGTCCCTTCATCCTTGCAATTTTCTATGGTACACTCTGATATTTTTCATTTAAATGTTAGCTCTTTAATTGCTGGGAAAGCTAGAAGGAGCTAATGTTTGTTGACCCCTTGCAGTGTGCCCAGCACTGTATTATGCTGGGTTTTTTATGTACATCATCTTATATAATCCTCATTACTTCCCTGTGAGGGAGGTAGAACAATTATTCTTATTTTATAGATGAGAAAACAAGAGCTCAGAGATACTGGGGACCTTGCCCTAGGGCATGTCTAATATCTGCCAAGCTTTCATTTGATTCCAGTTTTCTTTTATGGGAATTCTGTGCCAATTTTACTGCTTCTGATGCCTCCCTAATTAAGAGTCAAGAGGAAGAGCAGTAAATAAATGTTTATTGCTGATCTATTATGTGGTTGATAATATGCAAACATTTTATATGTTGTATCTTATTGAATTCTTGAAACATGAGGTAGAAAGTAACTCCTATTTTTTAAAAAAATAGAGGTTAAGCAGTTTAGCTGAGACCACATATTCAGTATTTAACAAAACAGATATGTGAACACAGGTTGTCTAAATTGTGACTGACATCTCTGATTTGGGACAGTTTAGGGTGTCTCCAGTCATTGAAATAAGTACTGAGCAATTATCAAAATAACATTTGATGTTTTTCTCATTTTTCAATATTAGTTTATGTTTTTGTAGAAATATTAAAAAATAAGTAAACAAAAAGAAGAAAATGTTCTGTATAACTGAGCTTCCCAGAAAACATTTAGTTTTAATAAACACACACACAAACACGCCATATGTACACAGATATAACACAAAAAGATTATAATAGATTCAATTTTATGTTTTATTTAATTGTTCTTTTACACAGTAAGTTTTAAATATTGAATAGTTTTTTTCTCTCATATGGGTTTATCAGACTTTATTCATTTCCATTTAATGAGCCTTACACAATTTGATTTTATTTTTCCCAAGATAATAGTGTTAAATTGAACTCTAGGATACATAGAACTTTATTTATGGTGCTCAAAAAAAGAAGGAGACGTATTTATTAAGCCAAATCAAGGATAAAATTTTACAAATTCAAAACCATTAGGTATTATCTTAGAGATCTGCAAAAAAAAATCATGATAAATATAAATTAGGACGGTAGGGACTTACATGCTGGAAAGACTGACTTGAAATAATATGAAAATATTATCGAAGTACTGAACAGTTCAATAGAGATTTTTGAACACTCAGAGGAGTGAGTCTACCCTAAGAACTACAACATGACAGGGAGTTGAAAGCCCACCAAGCCCAGTAGTCCAAATCATTCAGTGTTTTTCACCTAAACCAACATCCTTGGGAACCAGCATGTACACATTTCTCCTTCTTCTTCTCTTCCTCTTCTTCCTCTTTCTTCTCTTTCCCTTCTTTCTCCAACTCTTCCTTAACTACATAAACATTCTTTGGTGCATCATCTTTGTGGTATTTTCGTAATATATTAGGCCAATATATTTTGAAATATTAAGATATTAGGTTTTCTTTCTTTCTCTGATTTCCCTTTCCTTTCCCTCCATTCAAACGCCTATCTTTATACTTCACTGACTCCCAGGAGTACATAGCAACAGCAGGCAGAAATAGCCTGTGTATATTTCTGACTTTTATTTTCCCAAAACTCAATTTCTTAGAAACATAGTGAGAGCTTTCAGAGGAGCTAAAAGAGAAGAAAAGCATATTTCTCAATAGAAGCAGAGTGGCTTGGAATTAGCTGGGGGAAAGAAGTCTATAGCGACGGGGTAGTACTTGAAAAACTAAGATCTTTTGCAGCAACACAGAGAAATAGCAGGATAGTTACAGAGTGCCTAAGACACCAGATATTAGATGTCTGTCCTCGCGAAAGAGTGTTGTATTCCCAGTGTAGCACAGAATCTACACATAGCTACCAGGTCTGAGAGGACCATTGATATAGGAAAAAGGCAAGTCTCAGAATTACAGATGAAAAACAATGACAGCTGGGTTGGAGGAGGATGATAACTTGGTTTGACATAAAACCCCACAACTCATGGCGCAAGGCTAGGAGGTGGCTCTAGAAATGTGCAAATTCAGCTTACCTACTATTCCAGCAAGAGAGAAATTCAAAATTAGCTTGTTTATTAAAAAACATATAAACCCAATAGTCTTTTTTCTCTTTTATATTATTATGGATACATAATCGTTGTATATATTTATGGAGTACACATGACTTTTTGGTACAGGCACAGAATATATAATGAACAAATCAGGGCATTTGGGGTATCCATCACCTCAAACATTTGTCATTTCTTTTTTTTCAGGAAATTTCTAATTCTATTCTTTTAGTTATTTTAAAATTTACAATAAATTATTGTTAACCGTAATCATCCTGTTTTGCTACAAAATACTAGATCTTATTAATTCTACCTAAGCATATTTTTGTACGCTTCAACCATCCCCACTTTATCCACCCCTCCCCACTCCCCTTCCCAGCTTCTGGTAATCATCATTCCACTCTATATTTTCATGGGTTCAATTAAAAAAAATTTAAGTTCCTACATATGACTAAGATCATGTGAAATTTGTCCTTCCCTGCCTGGTTTATTTCACTTGACATAATGTCCTCCAGTTTTATCCATGTGGTTGCAAATTACAAGATTTCATTTTATATATTGCAGAGATGTCTGCATTCCCATGTTTATTACAACACTATTCATAGTAGTCAGGATATGGAATCAATATAAGTGTCCATCAATGTATGAACAGATAAAAAATGTGGTACATATACCCATGGAATATTATTGATACACAAAAAAGATAGTCCGTATTCTTAACAAATAGAAATGTGATATCTTTGAGAAAGATAAATGTGATATTTACAAAACTAAAAATACAAATGTGTTATTGATTATTGAACATATAGAATGAGATTTATACTGCTACATATATTCACAGAAAAATCATCAGTTTAAGAATCAGGCTCATCTTCATTCAACCTACATTTACATAAGTTCTTCGATTGGACCCAGACTATTAAAAGGGTAAATAGCATTTGGTAACATGTCTGTCTTCTGTTTGGCATTTTACGTATTTGTGCTCATTGACTATCATCAATTATATGCACCATATTAGTCAAGAAATTAAGCTATAGACAATAGACAAGTGAATTGACTAATCCAAGATCTCATGGTTCAGTGGTTGGCCTGAATTTCCACCCAGATTTGACTGGACTCTAAATACTTTGTGTTACTTTTGCGTGCTACTCCAAAGTATTTAAGATCCATATCCTGGGAATATTGTCCAAATTATTCTTCAGAGTTCCATAATCTCTATTGTCTATCATCAATCCATCCTCACTGTATTTCACTTCTCATCATTTTTAAGCCACAAATATTAATCTGCATAAAAATAGTCACATGTGTATGCATAAAATTGTCACATGTAATAGTAACAGTAAGTTGAGGAACATCAAACAGGAAGGAAGAAATCCACTGCCCAGGTTCAATTATTCAAACCTTATTTATTAAAAGAATACGGTGGAATAAGGACTGATACTACAAAGAGGGAGGCAAGCTAGTAAAGAGGGCTTAAGGAACGCTGAGCTAGCAAATTCAATTTCTGTGCCTTTTCCTCTTGCTGACTGCACTTGAACACGTTGACATCGCAGTCAGCCCTATAATAATACAGTAACGAAAAGGGATTTGCAGTCAATGAGAGCTCAGTAACATGAGGAAAGTTGGCCAATAGTTTGCATAATATTTTTGGCCCTGAAAATGTTTTATTGACATCAAGCCAAAAAGCAAGCATGAGGTCCAGATGACTGCTGTGAGCTTTGATCAATTAAGGTTTGAAAGCCTATTTTATTTGCTTGGATGCATGGTTCAGAGTGCAATCTATTATTGTTTGTCACTCATAGGTGCTTTTTCAAAAGTTTCCTCTGAAGTAGCAGGGAAACTACTCCTTAGAGAAAACAGGCCACACAAGATATTTAAAAGTCTAGTTATTTTTAGTGAGGTTGAGTGGATATCTCTTGGAGAAACTAAGAAAAGCATCACTTTTACTCTTTTTTCATGAGCCAGAAAAGAAAGAAAAAACATTTCTGTAGCACCTCTGCTTTTTAAGCTTTCTTCTACTCAGTCACATTAGGGTTTAAACCAACCAAACAAACAAAGAGCCTCAAAACTGATTCTGTTCCTAGAACAGAAAATGGCTAAGGTTTTAAGACAAGTATTTTTGTTATAGCATCTGTCACCTTTGAGGAAAAAATTTATCCAATTTTGGGTACACATGTCACAAACCCGTCTGTTACCCAGGCTCTGGCAAAGCACTTGGCATGCTGCTAGGCACACAGTAAGCACTTAAAACATGTTAGCTGTTAAATGTCAGGTGAGAAAGAAAAAGTCGCAATAAGCTGTCCTATTACTATAAAGGCCAACTAGCAGGTGCAATGCTCTGTGCTATCCTCACAATAAGTCCAAATCCTCCATCTCTTTCAACACATACCTTAGGAAGCCTGTCCTAATCTCACATGTTTTATTTAATATGTACCAGAATTAAGGCCTTTTTATATATTGTTTAGGTGGTTGTTATGGCCTGAGGAAAAGATGGGAACAGGGAAGTGGTTGCAGAATCATTCCTCTGCATCCATTTTGCTCCGGACTTGTGGAACAGAGGGTGCTGGGGGAGGGAGGAAAACACAGAAGGTGCTCTCACCCCCAGAAAGCTAAATAGGATCACAGTGGGGAGATAGCAGAGTGAAATGGTGAAGTCTGCTTAGCACTGTGTCTGCTCCAGGACTTAGAATAAAATTCAAACCCCTACATGGCACATGAGTGGGCCGCTGTCTATATTTGTGACCTTATCTACAATTTCCCTTTTAGTATTGTTTAATGACTGCACTCATTCTTCTTTTTTGTTTTTTGAAAGTTCAAGGCTCAGGACATTTACCTGTAAAACTTTCCCTTCCCCACCCATAGATCTTTACTTAGACAGCCCTTCATGTTACAGCTCAAATGTCCCCTCAGAAGGGCCTTCATGGTCAGGCATGGTGACTCATGTCTGTAATCCCACAATTTTGGGAGGCTGAGGCAGGAAAATCACTTGAGCCTAAGAGTTTGAGACCAGCCCAGGCAACACAGTGAGACCTATCTCTACAAAAATTTAAAAAAAAAATCACCAGGTTTCGTGGCATGCATCTGTAGTCCCAACTACTCGGGAGGCTGAGGCAGCGGGATAGCTTGAGCCTAGGTCAAGGCTGCAGTGAGCTCTGATTGCACCACTGCATTTCAGCCTGGGAGACAGAGCGAGACCCTGTCTGAAGAATATGGCCTTCTTAAGAAGAACCATATTTTCCCACTTCTATTTATTAGTCATTATCAAGGTATCCTGTCTCATTTTTTGACCATGTTTTTGCCTCTCTGAAATTACCTTATATTATTTATTTACTTGGTTTGTTTTTCATCATCTGCCTCCTCCACTAGAATGAATGCTGGATGAGGGCAGATACCACATCTCTTTTTCACAGGGCTATACCATTGATGTCTAGGAAGATACCTGGCATGTAGTAAGTATCCAATAAATATTTGTTGGAATAATAAATGAATGAAGGAATATGGATAGAAGAGGTACTTAAGATTTCCAAAAGGACAAGCTGGGTTTATCAAGTTAGAATGGTAGATAGAGATGTAGGACAGAAATGGAAATGTAGGGCAGAAATAAGAATAAGAGGAAAGCTTTTGCCTAGTGTGGTCCATGTCAAATATCCTCTGGGCACAACGGCAACAATGTTAAGTGATTAGAGTATCCAACAGAGAAGAGATCAAGGAATTTGAACTCCTAGAATTTCCTATAGGCATAATCTTGATGACAAGTGAAGAATGGTAAGCCCAGTGTATTCTCATATAGTACAGGAATGAACACTGATGCTCAATAATTGATTTGCATGAGCTCTAACTCTGTGCATAGTTTGCTGTTGAGAATAGAATCAGCCTGGGAGAAATATGGAAGTTCAGGGTGACTAGAGGATTGGACTCAGTTTAGGGACTTAACAGCCACTCAATAACCACTAACACTGGTAATTTTTCTTAACTGCTTACTGTGTTCCAGATACTATGCTAAATCATTTAGAACCATTGTCTTGCTTGATTGTCACAAAACCTCGGTGTGTAGGTATTGTTTTTTCTCCCTTTAACAAAAGAGTTAACTGAGGCTTACAGAGATTATGTCAACTGTCCAAAGTAACAAATGAATTGTAGTATACTTTGAACTCAAAAGCAGGTCTGTTTTACTCCAAGCCCACACTCAAAACTACTCAATTACTAAGTGGTTTTTCAATAGGACACTGCTGGCATTTTGGAAAGGAATTATTTGTTTAGCAAGACCATCCCTCACATAGTATCCCTGGCTCTCTACACAAAATGTTTGTGACACCCCCCAGTACTGCTGCTTCACTTCTGTTGAGAATCATTGTGCTAGTAAATCTAAAAGAAGCTATGGAGAAATGTTTCTACTGCCAGTCTTCCAGATATTTCAAACTTCCAAAATAAGAGATAATCTATTTGTATTCTCCAGGACCACACTGGAACAAAGAAACATTATTAGAATTTTGGCAGTCTAGATCTCCCATAAGTCAATAAGAGATGTAGATAGACTAAATAAGAAACCATCTCTTGGTATATTCAATGCATGGCACTTTTATGTTTGATTTGGTTAAATTTTCAGGAACATATCACCCTGTTTATACATATCCCCATAAATATGAGGAATCACATACAATGGTCATAGAAAGATCAAGATTAAAATCATTTAGTGTCTTGTGTAGAAAGGCAATTTAGATTTTTACCACTCCAACCTGTATAGACCTGTTAACTGAACTCTGATAATTTTTTTAAGATGTTGCTTTCATTATGGTAGTCCTACTGTGAAACATGCAACACTATCTGACTCATTAAACCCTTCATTTTTTCTCTTTCTTGGCATTAACATTCTTCACCATCTAGACTTTACTTAAAGTACTTGCTTTATCTTCTGCTTCTCACCAAGTATCATTAATTTCTGATAATTGAATCTCTTTACTATTTCCGAATGACTTTTACTTATCCACCTTCAGACATTTACTTTTTCCATTTCTCCTGCTGAGAATTCTCTTCTGAATACTCTGTGCTTAGTAAGTACTACCAGCTCTTCACTAGTCAAGTATCTCCTTCTTCATGGCCATGAGAGCCTGCAGCTATTTTTCCTTCCTCTAAAGGCCCAGATATTATTTTCTCAGTAATTATTCTTTATGATTGATTATCAGAATAATGTGTGGTGTTTGTGAAAGTACAGTTCATATGTTTGCAACTTCAGAGGTTTTGATTCAATACATCTGGAATAGGGAACATAAATCTGTATTAAAGGAAAAAAAGTGGCCAGGTGATTACTGATGATCAATCAAGTACAAAAATCACTCAGTTGCACATCTAATTATTTTGCATGAATGGCTTCATTTTGTATCATTAAAATTTCCACGATGGGTGGATCCATGTCTAATTCATCAAGGTTGTAATTTATAGAAGGCACTTGAATATTTTCTCATGAGTGTGTTATAAATTACATGACAAGATTCTATTTGATAATTCATGCTGATATTTTTCATGATCAAAGTATATATTAGAATATACCTTACTTTAACAATAAATTAAAAATTATTTTATTGCACTGCACCCAATTTCAGATTGGAATATATAATGTACAGCTAACATGCCTCTTTCTCATGTCAAAATAAATATTAATAACTGGGCTGAGCGCAGTGGCTCATGCGTGTAATCCCAGCACTTTGGAAGGCCAAGGCAGGCAGAACACGAGGTCAGGAGATTGAGACCATCCTGGCCAACATGGTGAAAACCCTTCTCTACTAAAAATACAAAAAAAAAATTTAGCTGGGTGTGGTGGCGCGTGCCTCTAATCCCAGCTACTTGGGCGGCTGAGGCAGTAGAATCACTTGAACCTGGGAGGCAGAGATTGCAGTGAGCTGAGATCGTGCCACTGCACTCCAGCCTGACAACAGAGTGAGAATCTGTCTCAAAAAAAAAAAAAAAAAGAAAAAAAAAGAGGTATGTGAACTAACTTTCAGGAACTTTAATAGAGCTTTATTCTTGTATTGTGCTGGTCTCACGAAATATTTTAACAGGTACAAATATTGTGGGTTTCTTCTTGATAAACTCATTTGAAGTCCTAGTTGGAGATGAGTATTCTATATAGTTTTGAAAAAGGTGAATATCCATGTGTGCAAATTGTGTTTATGAGAAAAGAATCAAAGCACTAATAATTGCTAATGTCCCAAAAGGGGTATATTTTTAGACACATAATAAATACAAATTGTAATTATGAGAGTTAAATGCAAATGTTCTATGTTATCACAATATAGAAAAAAATGAAAAAAAGGCAAGAGATTTAAAAGAAAGAAAATGAGAGGGAGAAAAGAAAATGAAGGATTAAGGAAATGGCGAGTTTTATTAAGGGAAGGATAAAAGGAAAAAAGAGAAGGAAATTATTAAGGATCTTCATCAACAATGTGCATCCACATGATGAGGACTGGATCTTATAACAATTACAGTTTATTGCAGCTTGGAGGTCTTTAAATAAAATAATCCGAAACAGCAGGTACAGTGTTGGGTTTCGAAAGGTACCTTGTGAGGAAGGAGCTTGAAGCTAAGTTTCATTAACTTCACCACGTATCTGCCTCTTATCATGATTTTTGATGTTATTTTGGTCATTGGCCCAAGAAATTCCTGAATCTGCCTTTGTCTAGCCACCCCTTCACACCGTGACTTCCCAGGAAGTAATAGTCACACAGAGCTCAAAGATAAAGGGAATTCTTAAAAAGACAAGGACAAAAGGTAATCAGAGTATCTCTTTATGACTGGGAGATCTTGTACCTGAGTCACAAAAGTCACTCTGACTAAAGGGAATGGCACACAGGCACAAGGCGAGGAAATAGGAGGGGGAGGGAATGAGCCTGAGGACAATTACTCACAATGCAGATACAGTCATTTGAACACCAAATGTGTAATTATGGTAACATCAAACCACTGAGGCATAATTCTTTCTCCAAAAATTATACCAGCAATGGCTTTTGATGATTACCAAAGGAATTAGCATTTCAAGATTGATGTGTGAGTTGAAGTGGGTTTCTGAGCACCTGCCAAAGCAGGCAAGAAAAGAACCACTTACTGCCAAGACTTGCTTCCTGTGCTTCAGTCATATCTTATGACTGGGTTGGCTTTTGAACTAATATTCAAGTGAGTTTAATTCCCAGCAACAGTACATATAAGGTGTGCAGACAAAAACTTGGAATGCTAATATAGAAAATCCGATACAGATCTTAACAGAGTATATGAAAAAAGCAAAGTTCATGTACAGAGCAGATGGTGGCTAAATGTCAACACAGACTTGTGAGTGGATGTAGATGGTGTACAGAAATTTGAGACAACCCCAATTCTCCGGAATATGGTGAAAAATTTAGTATAATGTAGAAAAGGCTTCTGAATGGCAGAAAGGGTCTTCACTGAGTTTATTCACTTTGCAACGCAGAGGAGACCCTTAAGGCCTTACTAAGAGCCAATTTATCTGTAATTTAGAGACACATTTCAGTTAAGTGATAATCATATTCCCAAGCCACAGCATCTAAGAGGAAATGAAAGGCTGAAGTGGAGAGAAGCTGTTATAAGAAGACATAAAAATTATAGTAAACAATAAAATCACGTAAGTATTCCAAAAATCTGGTAGAATAATTTAAAATGTTAGAAGCCTAGGTCTATTCACTGAAGTGCTAAAAGTTGTATGTAATTCTTGGCTAGGAGTAATTTGAATAATCACTGTATAGACGTTGGGTCATAATGAAGTAAAATATACCCACGTATATTTGTATGTTACAGCTTAATCACACATACAAACACATACAGATAGAAAGAAAGAGAAAGAAATATGCATCCAACCACAAAGACCCAACTTGAAAATAAAACTGCAATATTAAATATTGCAGACATATATATAAATTTACCAACAGGAATTTTTGAAAACATAAATATTGCCTAAAACTTTTTCACTAAAAATGTTTCCAGTATGATAGCTTTCAAAATCTGTAATAAATTCCTCCTATCTTCTCTTCTCTAAGATAGATATAGTGCTTCTCTCATAATTCTCCTTCTGTATTACTTTAAATGATATTATCATATATTGAGTAGTTATAATGTATTGGGTACAATATCATCTTACTTACATTTCTTCTCTTATATCTCAGAAGAACTCCGCAAAGTAGAAATTATTGAGCTTGTATTTTATGATCTCTAATATGAGGTGAGAAAATTCCTTCATGTCTTTACTGAGAGCTAATTTAACATCATAATATAGCGGAAAGGGTAGGTAGTTTGTAATAAAATCTGGTTTGAGTTTATTTGATACTTCTTGGCTTTGTAATCTTAACCACTTGCAAAAGAGGACGTACAAAATAATAATAACCTATACAGTGATCAAAATTAAAGTATGTTTTATGGTCAAATGAACAACACAAAGGTATTATATTTATTTAATAAATATTCTGCTTGACTTCGAAAAGAATCTCAGATAGGAGAATATGCTAAAGATGAGATAAAAAGGATGGATAAAATAAAGGAAGAAGGAAAATATATAAAGAAGAAAAAAGGTAGCATGAAGGGAAAGAAAAAGAATAAAAATAAAGACAAGCAGCATAAGGAGGAATGGAGGTTAAACTATTGCCACATGTGAGAAGGCACAAAGTCCCTTTTCCTTAATTAACTCTATATTCCATTTCTGACATTCCCTAAGCAGGGAGGATATTTACTCATAGATCTTGATCCTTTCTATTGTATGATTATAGAGAGTCCCCTCAATAATCAATGTGTAGGAAAACTAAAAGCAGCTGAAGTAAAAAATAAAGGGAGAAAGATATGAAAATAGCTGGAACTGCTGAGTATTCCGAACATTTTTATGGAAATTGAGGGTGAGAGATTTAGATATAAGCAGGCCTTATAAGGCCTTCTGTAAGAGTAGCATCAGCAAGGGAGGTGGGGGACAAAGCGATTTTTTTAATGGGCTTAAAATTAGATTCCCTTAATGTGCTTTGAGAAAGAGGTAAATATAAGCATTTTAATTTTAACTGCAGGAATATCCTTTAATTTAATACCATATTTAATGTGAGAATGTGAATATAAGGGAGATTGATGTCAGTGGGACGGCAGAATAGGAAGTCCCAGACAGTTTTTCCCTACATAGAGGCAATGATTCAACAATACATGAACCTATTCATTTGTGAAAAATCCAAAAACCATTTAAGAGGCTTCTGCAATCCAGATGAGCGCAGAACCAGCCACATCAAAGTCACTAGGAAAATTTATTGCACTTGTTCACCACAGTCCTTCTCCCACCTTATCACAGTGGGACTCAGAGGAAAGTTCCAGCTCTCAAATTCTCCCTGGGGGAAGAAAAGAAAAGACAGAAACATATGCCCATTTTTCAGAATTTTGGGGTACCTGCCAAAGAAACTGCATCTCAGCAGTTTCTTTCTTACCTGCGTCTAAGCACTGACAGAAAAGGGCACCAGCTTGGGGATCATCAATAACAAAAGCAATAGTTTGAACTAATACTCTCTTCCTCACCATAGTTCCTGCCACTAGCCCAGCATGGAAAGAATGAGAGAAGCCTCCCAACTCCCAGATGCTTTCATGGAAGATAAATAATGGAAGTGTGGGTCCTACATTCTAGCTTTTTGAGGGGCTGCACTAGAAACTGGATTCTTCTTCTCTTGTTTTGGAGTGCGTGCAAGACCCAGCATTCTCTAGATGGCTGGGGGCTGCTAAGAACAGAAAGAGTTGAGTGGCTCGTGGCTGCTGCAGAGGACACATGGCACAGCAGGTAGAGAACAAAACAGCTTGGTTGTCTCTCCCTCATGGGGGTAAGAGAAGAGTAAAGTGTGTGTTCAATATTTTGGCTTTTCAGGGAGGTGCTGAGGAGCTCATTTCTTTCTAACAGGCCTTGAAGCACTAATGAAGCTTGGCAAATTCTAGAAGCCTAGGAGTTAGTGAAGGCAAAAGGGATATAGGTCACTTATTGTAGCGCTAGAGAAGTTAGAGTACTGCAGACAGATACCAAAAGGAGCAAGAGATTACCAGCTCCTGAATGAAGAAACCAGCTAATCTCTCAAACTGGAAATGTGCACACATAAGTTAAGACACAACACATCCACAAGAAAAGTTGAGAAGCCCTGAGAATATTTAGCCCAACTGAATGGTACAAGTCATCCCCTGTACAAAGCTAATTTATAAACACTAGGAGAGATTTTTTTTCAAATGAATGATAACAACATAAAATTACAAGGCACACAAAGAAATAAAGAAACATGGCCCCATCAAGAAAAACAATTCCCAGAAAATGACCCTAAAAAAAAGAGGTATGTAAAGTACATGACAATTCAAAATAACCATCATAAGGATGCTTAATGAGCTGGCAAAAATTATATATGAAGAAGAATATCAACAAAGAGCTAGAAAATATAAGAAAAAAATAAAATTTTGGAGGTGAGGAATACAATCACTGAAACGAAAAACTTATTTGTGGGGGTCCTATAAGAGAAGAGGGAATGAAAGGAGGAGAAAGCTATTTTGAAAAATTAATGGCTGAAAACTTCTCAAAGATGAGAAAGAAAATAAACATCCAGATTCATAAAGTGCAATAGATTCCAACTAACATTGAACCAAATAAATGAACACAGAGACACGTTATAACAAAAAGTTAATAGTCAAAGATAATGAGAGAATTTTAAAAGCAGCAAGTGGAAATTGACTTATCAAATACAAGGGACTCATCATAAGACTATTAGTGAATTTCTCATCAGAAACTTTACAGGCAAGAAAGAAGTGGAATTATATATTTAAAGTACTGAAATAAGAATACAACAAAGCAAGAGTAATGTATCTGGCAAATCATCCTTCAAAAATGAAGGCGAAATACGATTTTCCCATGTAAACAAAAGCTGAGGGAGTTTATCACCACTAGACCTGCTTTACAATAAATGCTAAAGAATGTTCTTTAAATCGAAATTGGTACAGGATGGGGGAAGGGAAGTCCTGGGTAGAAAACATTGGGGTCCCTGGTGAGGGCTTCACCTTCCGGCCTCTGCCCACAGACCTAAGTGAGAATAGGCACTCCTGTTTTCATGCTCAAATGTTGCATTTTTCAAGACAACTTTGGTCTGCTATGTCCCCCATCCTGTGCCTATAAAAAACCTGTGACCATAGTGGGCACAGACACAAGTGGCTGGACATCAAGAGGAACATATCAGCAGAAGAACACACTGATAGATGCTGGCAGGTCATCAAAGGCAGAATGACGCAGATGGTGAGGGAAATTTGGTTGAGGGCCATCAGAGAAGAGCTTGGCTGCTGAGCAGCCGGACTCCAGGGAAAGATCACCTTCCCACTCCATCTCCCTTTTGGCTCCCATCCATCTGCTGAGAGCTACTTCCACCACTTGCACTCATTCTCCAAGCCCACGTGTGATCCAATTTTTCCAGTACCCTAGGACAAAAACCTTGGGATGCAGAAAGCCCTCTCTCCTTGTGATGAGGCAGAATGTCTAATTGAGCTGATTAACACAAGCCACCTGCCGATTGCTAAGCCAAAGGAGCACACGTAACACACACCCGCTGGGGCTTTGGGAGCTGTAAACACTCATCCCTAGACCCTGCAGTGGGGTTGGTGCCCACGGTCCCCAAGACTTGTCTGCCTACATGCTCCCTCTAGGGGTGTGATCTGTGGGGCACCAAAGAAGCAAGCCACTTCTCCTGTTGCATGCCCTGCGAGGGGGATAAGGGAAAACCTTTCCCATTTCAAAGTGAAAGTACTCTGGTCAGCAACACATAAGCATATGAAACTATATAGCTTTCTTATAATTTAAATATATAGAAGAATACAGAATACTAATACTGCAATGAAGGTGTAAAAATAACTTTTAATTTGGGTATAGGAGTTAAAAAATAAAAGAATACACATTAATTCTAACTATAAAATACGTTAATAAATAACTATATTCAAAGCTGTAATTCGTGACATTAATAAATTGTGGGGGGAAAGTAAAAGTGTAGAGTGCTTTTATGTAATTGAAATTCAGTTGTCATCAGCCTAAAATATATTGTCATTACTATAAGATCTTTTATCTAAGCCCTATAATAACCAAAAAGAAAATAGCTATAGAAGACACAAAAAAGAAAATGAGAAATGAATCAAAGCCTGTCACTACAAAAAAGAAATTCAACAAATTACAAAGGAAGACAGCAAAAGAAAAAGGAGAGACAAAAAGCTACAAAATATACAGAAAACAATTGAGAAAATAACAATAGAAAGCCCTTCCCTATCAGTAATTATTTTAAATCTAAATTAATTACCTTTCCAATCAAACAACATAGAGTGGCTAATTGATTAACAAAAATAAAAGAAAAATGAAAAGTAAAGGAAAAAATAAGTTCCAACTACATGCTAACTACATTCTCTCTACAAGAGACTCACTTTAAATTTAGTAACATAGGTAGACTGAAAGTGAAGCAATGAAAAAGATATTCCATGCAAATGGTAACCAAAAAAATCATGGGTAGCCATAGCTACATCAAAGAAAAGAGACTTTAAATCCAAAATGACACAAGAGACAGAGAAGGACATTGTATATTATAAAAGGACCAGTTCATTAGAAGATAACAATTATACATGTATATACTATCAACATCAACACTCCGAAATATATGAAGGAATCATTGACGGAACTGACAGGAGAAACAGAGAGCAACACAATCATAGTAGGAGACTTCAATATCCCGCTTTCAGTAATTGATAGAACATCCAGAGAGATTAATAGGAAACAAAATTCGAACAACACTGTAGATGAATGGAACTAGTAGACATATACAAAACATTCCACCCAACGGTAGCAGAATACACATTCTTCTCAAGGGCACATAGAATATTCTTCAGGATACGTCATATGTTAGCTCACAAAAAAGTCTTAATAAATTTAAGAAGATTGAAATCATACCAAGTATATTATATGATTACAAGGGAATAAAAGTAGAAATCAACAACAGAAGGAAAATGGGAAAATCTACAAATAATGGAAATTAAGCAATGAACTCCTAAATAAGCAATGGGTCAAAGAAGAAATAAAAATGGAAAATAAAAGACTTTGAGACAAATAGAAACCTAATATACCAAAACTTATCGGATACAACCAAAACAGTACCTAAAGGGAAGTGTGACAATGTCTACATTTAAAAAAGAAGAAATATCTCAAATAAACAACAATTTTGTACCTCAACACACTAGGAAAGAAGAACAATTTAAGTTCAAAGTTAAAAGAAGGAAAAACAAAATAAAGGTTAGAGCAGAAATATTTACAAGTAGAGCATAGAAAAACAATAGAAAAAAACCAACAAAAATATGACTTAGTTTTTTGAAAAGATCAACAGGATTAACAAATCTTTAAACTAGGAAAAAAGAGAGAAGACTTAGTAAATAAAATCAGAAAATAAAGAGGACACATTACAACTGACATCACAGAAATATAAAGATTATAACAGTTTACTATGAATAATTATATGCCAAGAAACTGAGTAACCTAGAAGAAATTAATAGATTCCTAGAAACATAAAACTTAGCAAGACTAAAGCATGAAGAAACAGAAAAATCTTAACGGAAGGACGAGTTAGAAGACTGATTTAGTAATGAAAACCTCCTAACAGAGAAAAGTCCAGAACCAGATAGCTTCACTGGTGAATTCTACCAAACATTTAAAAAATAATTAATGCCAACCCTCCTTAAATTCGTCCAAAAAATCGAAAAAGAGGCAACAGTTCCAAACTTATTTTATGAGGCCAGCATTACCAAAGTCAGACAAAGACACCTCAAGAAAAAACTATAGCCAAACATCCCTGATGAATCTATGAGAAAAAATCCCCCCAAAATACTAGCAAACCAAATTCAATAGCATATTAAAATGATCACTCACCCTGACCAAGTGGGAATTTTCTCCTGGAGTACCAAGATAGTTCAATATATGAACATCAACCAATGTGGTATACCATATGAACTAAACGAAAGATAAAAATCATATGAAAATCTAAATAGAGTTGACAAAATTAAACAACTTTTTACAATAAAAACACTCAACACACTAGGAATAGAATAATATTACCTCAAAATAAAAAGGCCATACATGAAAAGCCCACAGCTAACCTCATACTCAATAGTATGAGGTGAAAGAAGGAAAGCTTTTCCTCTGAGATTACAAACAAGGCAAGTATGCCCACTCTCACCACATCTATTAAACATAGTCCTGGGAGTTCTAGCTAGAGTAATTAGGAAAGAAAAAGTAACAAAAAGCGTTCAAATAAAAAAAAAGATCTAAAATTATCCTTATTCACAAACACATAATTTTATATGTAGAAAACACTAAAGATTTCACAAGACAACTATTAGAACTAAATAAGGCAATTCAGCAAGGTTGCAGGATACAAGCTCAACATATAAAAATCGGTTGCTTTTCTATACACTAAAATAAACAATTTAAAAAGCAAATTAAGGAAACAGTCCCATTTATAATAGCATTAAAAATAACAAAATGCTTAGCATTGAAATTTACCAAGTAGATAAAAGACTTGTACACTGAAATATATAAAATATTACTGAAAGGAATTAAAGAAGACATAAATAAATGGAAAGACATACTGTGTCAATGGACTGAAAGATTCAATACTGTTTAAATGTCAATACTACCCAGAGATATCTACAGATTCAATGCAATTATTATCAAAATACCAATGATTGTTTCTGCAGAAATGGAAAAGAAATAATCTTAAAATTTATATGGAACCACAAAGGATCCCAAATAGCCAAAACAATCTTGAAAAGAAGGTTGAAAATGGAAGCCTCACACTTCCTGACTTCAAAACATATTACAAAGGTATGGTAATTAAAATAGTATGAAACTGGCATAAAGACAGACATATACCGATGAAACAGAATAAAGATTCCTGAGAAACCCATGCATATACAGTTAAATGATCTTTGACCTGAGTACCAAGACTACACAATGGGGAAAGGATTGTCCCTTCAACCAATGGTGTTGGAAATACTGAATATCCACAAAAGAGTGAAAATGGACCCCTGACTTACACCATACATAAAAATTAACTCAAATGCATTAAACACTTAAATGTAAGCCCTGAAGCTATAAAACTCTCATTAGAAAATGTAGGGGAAAAGCTTCTTAGCATTGGCTTTGACAATACTGTTTTGGATACAACACCAAAAGCAAAGACATCAAAAGCAAAACTAGAAAAATGAGACTATATCAAACTAATCGCTTCTGCACAGCAAAGAAATAATCAACAGAGAAAAGGACAACATATAATATTGGAGATAATATTTGCAAACCACATATCTGAAAAGGGGTTAATATTAAAGATACGTAAGAAACTCTTACAATTCAATAGCAAGAAAATAAATAACTCAATTTAAAAGATGTGCAAAGGGCTTGGATAGACCTTTCTCAAAAAAAGACATACAAATGGCCAACTGGTGTGTGAATAGATGCTCGACATCATTAATCATCAGAAACATGAAAATCAAAACCATAAGGAAATATCACTTTGTAGCTGTTAGAATAGCCATTATCAAAATAACAACAACAAAAAACAACAAAAAATAAGAAGTATTGATGAGAATGTGGAGAAATTGGAACTCTTTTACGTTAGGGGAGAATGTAAAAATAGTGCAGCCACTATCTATCTGTCTGAAACAGTCTGGGTCTTCCTCAAAATACTAAAAATAAAACGACCATATGACCCCAAAATCCCATTTCTGAGTATTTCTAAAAAATATTTGAAATCAGGATCTCAAAATGATATTTGCACTTCCATGTTTCTTATAACATTATTCATAATACCCAAGAGGTGGAAAGAGTTTACATGTCCACTAACACATGAGTAGATAAAGAAAATGTGGTATATACATGCAATATAATATTATTAAGCCTTAAAAAGAAGAAAATCTTATCAGCTGCTACTACATTGATGAACCTTGAAGACATTACGCAAATTGAAATAAGCCAGTCACAGAAGGACAAATACCACAAGACCACGTATTTGGGGTATGTAAAGAAAGTAAATTCATAGAAGCAGAAAGTACAATAGTGGCTGCCAGGAGCTGGGGATAAAGAGGTAATGAGGAGGTATTGTTCAATGGGTACAGAATTTCAGTCAAGCAAAATGAAAGAGTTCTAAAGATCTGCTGTATAACAATGTGCATATAGTTAGCAAAAGTGTACTGTACATTTAAACAGTTAAGAGAGCAGATTTTATGCTATATGTTTTTACCATCATTTCAAAAAGAACATTAATTGAAATATGCACTTCAAAATATAATGTAATATTTGCATAAAAATATGGTAAATACAAGAAGTTGAAACATGAGTATTTTTTAAAGATTCGTGGTCTGCATACAGAACACTATCCATATGCACATACACATATTTTAGCCCTTTCATCACTTGGCTGATGTTTTAAAAAATATTTTCCAATCTGTCTTCTTAAAATATGCAAGCTGAAATAAACTTAATACAGGCATACCTCAGAGATATTACAAGTTTGGTACCAAGCTTGAGCATTAAAGCAAATATAGCAATAAAGAGAATCACACAATTTTGTTTTGGTTTCTCAGTGCATATAAAAGTTATATTTAGACTATATAGTAGTGTTTTAAGTGTCCACTGACATTATGCATTAAAAAATAATGTGCATACCTTGGTGAAAAAAATACTTTATAGCTTAAAAATGCTAACAAGCATCTGAGTCTCCAGCAATTGTAATCTTTTTGCTGGTGGAGGGTCTTGCCTCAATATTGATGCTTGCTGACTAATCAGGATTGTGGTGGCTGAAGGTTGGGATGGCTGTGCCTGTTTCTCAAAATAGGAAAACAAAGAAGTTTGGCACATCAATTGACTCTTTCTTTCATGAAACAGTTCTCTGTAGCATGGGATGTTGTTTGATAATACTTTGCCCACAGAACTTATGTGACTATTGGAGTTACTTCTCTCAAACCTTGCCTATGCTTTGTCAACTAAGTTTACATAATATTCTAAATATTTTGTTGTCATTTCGACAATGTTCACAGTATTTTGACCAGGAATATATTCTATCTCAAGAAACCACTTTCTTTGCTTATCCATAAAATGTAACTCCTTATTCATTAAAATTTTGTCATGAGATTGCAGCAACTCAGCCACCTCTTCAGGCCCCACTTCCAACTCTGGTTCTCCTGCTCTTTCCATCAAAACTGTAGTTACTTATTCTACTGAAGTCTTGAAGCCCTCAAAGTCATCCATGAGAGCTGGAAACAACTTCTTCCAAATTCCCGTTAATGTTAATATTTTGGCCTCTTCCTACAAACATTAAACAATTATTTTAAATACCATCTAGGATGGTGAATCCTTTCTACAAGATTTCCAATTTACTTTGCCAAGATCCATCAGAGAAATCACTATGGCAGCTACAGCCTTATGAAAGGTATGTCTCAAAATTACTTTTTGATTCATGGGGTGAAGAATGGGTGTTGTTTTAGCAGGCAAAAGAAATCATTAACATTCTTGTACATCTCTGTAAGAGTCTTAGGTGACGAGGTGCATTGCTAATGAATGGTGATTTTTTGAAATAAATCTTTTTTTCTGATCAGTAGGTCTCAACAGTGAGCTTAAAATATATAGTAAACCATGCTGTAAGCAGAAGTGCTGTCATCCAGATTTTGTTGTCTCATGTGTAGATCACAGGCAGAGTAGATTTAGCACAATTCTTCTGGGCTGTAGGAGTTTCAGACTGGTAAATGAACATTGGCTTCAACTTAAGTCACCAGCTATGTTAGCCCTTAACAAGACAGTCAGCCTGTCCCTTGAAGCTTTGAAGCCATGAAGTCAGGTATTGACTTCTCTCTAGCTATTAAAGTCCCAGATGGCATCTTCTTCCAGTAGAAAGCTGTTTTGTCTACATTGAAAATCTGTTGTTTGGTGTAGCCACTTTCATCAGTTGTTTTACCTAGATCATCTGGATAACCTGCCACAGCTTCTATATCAGCACTTGCTGCTTCACCTTGCATTCCTTTGTTATGAACGTGGCTTCTTTCCTTAAAGCTCATGAACCCACCTCTGCTAGCTTCAAACTTTTCTCCTGATGCTTCCTCACCTTTCTAATCATATAATTAAAGAGAGTGGGTGTTGAATGTTGTGGCTGGTTTGATCTCCTGTCCAGGCCACTAGAACTTTCTCCATATCAGCAATAAAGCTGTTTTGCTTTCTTATCATTTGTGTGTTCATTGAAGTAGTACTTGTAATTTTCTTCAACGACTTTTTTTTTTCTATTTATGATGTGGCTGTTTGGCACAAGAGGCTTGGCTTTTGGCCTAATTCAGCTTTTGACTTGCCTTCTTCACTGAGCTTAATCATTTCCAGTTTCTGACTTAAGGTGAGAGCCATGTGAGTCTTCCCTTCATTTGAACACTTAGAGGTCACTGTAGGGTTATTAACTATCTTAATTTTAATATGGTTGTAGTTCAGGGAATAAGGAGGCCCAAGAAGGAGAAGACAGATGGGAGAATGGATCATCAGTGGGTCAGATGGAACACACACAACATTTGTCAATTAAGTTTACCATTTTGTATGAGTACTGCTTATGGAGTCCCCAGAACAATTACAATAGCAACATCTAAGATAAGTGATCAGAGATCAGCATAACAGATTTAATAATAATGAAAAAGTGTAACTAAAACGTAACACAGGAACACAAAGTGAGCACGTGCTGTTGGATAAGTGGTGCCAATAGACTTGCCTTATGCAGGGTTACCACAGACCTTCAATTTGTAAAAATTGCAAAATATCCAAAGAAAAATAACACAAAGCATAACAAAATGAACTATATTATAGCTGATAATGTCTGATGAGTACGGAAAACCTTCTGGTTCTAGACCCTATAGTTCTGTTAATACTGTCTATGCAATCACTCGATGCATTGATTTATTTTATATATATATATATATATATATATATACACACACACACACATATGTATATTCACATAAACTCTCAGTAGATCACTGCTTTTTCTTATTAAGAAGTCAGTGGCCCAGTACCTAGATAGCATTCCAGCAACCTGAACTCTATTTCCAATATCTTTACAAGATGAAGCTTATATGTGTTACTTCTGATGATTATCTTCATAAATATTTGGTCAGAAATGTGTCTCCATTTCTCTATTTGAAGCTATTTGCTTCATCACAGTCCTATCCATGCCAATATTTACTGGATGACCCTATTCTCTATTTGATTAAAATAAACAAACCCTAACAGACATTAGTCTTCCTTTCTCTGCTGAGTGAAGTGTTCTCACAGCATTAAATAAATGTACTAAGTTAGAAAGGTGAGGGCATTTTAATTTCTGTGATTGACAGAATCTATTAAAATTCGCTTTAATTGGTGGTTTTCAAAAATTACATTAAAAAGTGCAAGTAAACACCGGCTATGCAGGAAGAACTACATTCCCTCTTAACCTTAAAATTTGAAATTATCCATTTTCATGGCTTCTGGGGCATTTTGGATATTTGTCAGGAAATGTTTTGTTTGTTACAGTGAATGTTGGGCACATAGGTGTTCAATCTGACACTCAAACTAATGAAGAAAATCTGCTCACGGTAATCTAAACCTGGAATTGAATTCTGTTTTACATATAGATTAAAATAGTTGTGCAAGTTTTAAATATGTGTGGACTTTTCAAGGAATGAAACTACAATATAAAGAAAGAGAATATCAGGATCCGGAATCTACAATGAACTCAAACAAATTTACAAGAAAAAAACAAACAACCCCATCAAAAAGTGGCTGAAGGATATGAACAGACACTTCTCAAAAGAAGACATTTATGCAGCCAAAAGACACATGAAAAAATGCTCATCATCACTGGCCATCAAAGAAATGCAAATCAAAACCACAATGAGATACCATCTCACACCAGTTAGAATGGCGATCATTAAAAAGTCAGGAAACAACAGGTGCTGGAGAGGGTGTGGAGAAATAGGAACACTTTTACACTGTTGGTGGGACTGTAAACTAGTTCAACCATTGTGGAAGTCAGTGTGGTGATCCCTCAGGGATCTAGAACTAGAAACACCATTTGACCCAGCAAGCCTATTACTGGTTATATACCCAAAGGATTATAAATCATGCTGCTATAAAGACACATGCATGCATATGTTTATTGCGGCACTATTCACAATAGCAAAGACTTGGAACCAAGCCAAATGTCCAACAATGATAGACTGGATTAAGAAAATGTGGCACATATACACCATGGAATACTATGCAGCCATTAAAAATGATGAGTTCATGTCCTTTGTAGGGACATGGATGAAGCTGGAAACCATCATTCTCAGCAAACTATCGCAAGGACAAAAAACCAAACACTGCATGTTCTCACTCATAGGTGGGAATTGAACAATGAGAACACATGAACACAGGAAGGGGAACATCATAAACCAGGTCCTGTTGTGGGGAGAGGGGAGCGGGCAGTGATAGCATTAGGAGATATACCTAATGTTAAATGACGAGTTAATGGGTGCAGCACACCAACATGGCACATGTATACATATGTAACAAACCTGCACATTGTGCACATGTACCATAAAACTTAAAGTATAAAAAAAAAAACTGCCAAAAAAAAAAGAAAGAAAGAGAATATCATGTTTTATTTTGTTTAGATCTTTACCAATAGCTGGTCTTCATTTCAGAAAATTACATGACAGATAGCCACTTCACTCATTTTTAAGTCCCCATTACCATGGGCTTCATTTGCAGTTGTCTCACCCACATCTAGGTGAAGACATCTGAGTGCTCTATTATGTTTTCTACTGCAGAAGAGTTTATCCATTTACATATCAATATGCAGTTTTAGAAATCACTTTCCTTTTATTTCTCCTTTTATTACACTTAGATAGCTATATTTATTTCTAATTATTATTGTATGTGTGATGTAAATAGCATGCATTTTATCTTAAGATAGCAAAGAAGGAAGGTTTACAAAACACTTGTATAAAGGAGGTTTAGGTCTAAAGAATTCCATATCCCTAAAGTCCTCATTGTTTCCTGGCTGTGCTAAGATCTGAAATTTGTTCAAATTTACTCTATTTTCCTAGTCAAGGAACTTACCATCAAATCAACATTGCTTCTAGCTGTAGTGTAAATTATTGCCTAGGTTGAATTAAATTGAATTAAATGGGTTTGGGCACATTTCTGAGCCTAGTCCCTTACTTCAAATTGCAATTCTTATAATTGCATTCTTTCTTATTATCCCAAGTCTCTTCCCATAGGTCCAACTTGGTTTCTGCCATTCCTATGCTCACTTCTCTCCTCATCAGATTTACAATACTATGGAGAAATAATTCCTTAAATTATGTAATCTATTTTTCCGAAAATATTTTGATATTTCTGAATTTGGTATTCTTTATTATTGGGCAGACTGAATACATAATCATACATGCCTAGGAAAAAATGGAATACAGCTTTTGTAGATGTGTCAACATCTTAACCATTTTAGCATCCCCTTTTCACAGTCATAAGTGTCCAAATTTGAAAGACAAATGTTAGTGTTGACCTACCTGGTTGACTAAGTGAAGAGTGTAACTTACTGAGGAAGCAAGAGACTTTTTGAAATGAGGAATCTGACTATATATTTGATGTCTGAGTGCTAAAAGCTTCCAAATTTCCACCTCTCCCTTGTTCCTTCTTGCCCTGCATCTGAAAAAGTTAGTAATAAAACCTGTGATTTCCCTTCTCTGGCACCATCAGGAAGTTTGAACCAGCGTGAATTAGGTTGGATAGTGTCCTATTCAAAGTTCATATCTATTTAGAACCTCAGAATGTGACCTTATTTGGAAATAGGGACTTTGAAGATGTAATTGGCTAAATTAAAGTGAGGTCATATAAGATTAAGGTGAGCTTTTAATCCACTATGACTGATGTCTTTCTAAGTAGAGGAGAGGACACACAACAGCACCCAGGAAAGACAGCCATATGATGATGGAGGCAGAGACTGGAGTGATGAAGGTACTAGCCAAGAAATGACCAAGATTGCTGGCAACCACCAGAAGAAACTAGGAGAAAGGCATGGGACATATTTTCTCTCAGAGCCTCTATAATGAACCAATGGCACTGACACTATGATTGCAGACTTCTAGACTCCAGATCTTGAAATAAAATGTTTCTGTTGTTTTAAGTCACCTGGTTTATGGTAATTTTTACGGTACCCCAAAAAAACTAATATACTATGCAATCGTGCAATACTTTGATGGTGCATGGGAAAACTTACCCTAGCCCCATTACCTAACACAATAAAGTCTGAAGCCAGAGAGAGCCCTCTTTGCTCTCTCAATCCATTTTTGGAACTGCTCATGAGCCTGCCATGCTATCGCTAGAAAGCCTCACTATGTGAGTAATAATTTTTATTATTTCCTCCTAGTGCAGGTGTGACTTCATCAGTCTTGACATCTGAATCAATTTTGGGTTGTAAGTCCATCCCACTTCCACAGGGAAAACGACACTTCCGGTCTTTCAAGTCAGGATCTGCCACTGAATGGCTGCATAAATTTAGAAAAGCAGGTGGCATTTTGGGATGTCTATTTGTACATCTATAAATGGGTCAACTGGACCATAATTAGGGTCATTAAATATAGAGGTTGAATGTCATCATTCCCCACTCAAAGGTCCGGGGTTAGTATCTCTATTAGATCACTGCACTCTTTCCAATTAAGACTTTAGAGAAATAAACCAGGCACAGAAAGACAAACATCACATGTTCTTACTTATTCGTGGGATCTAAAATTCAAAACAATTGAACTCATGAACGTAGAGGGTAGAAGAATGGTTACTAGTAGTGGGGGTTGGGGGAGATTTGGAGATGGTTAATTGGTACAACAAAAATATAAAGAATGAATAAGACCTACTACTTGATAGTACAATAGGGTGATTATAGTCAATAATAACTTTATTTTATATTTTTAAATAACTTAATGCAATTGTATTATTTGTAAATCAAAGGATAAATGCTTCAGGGGATGGCTATCCCATTCTTCATGGTGTTATTGATGAAGAATGTTCATACTTATTTCACATTGCATGCCTGTACCAAAACATTCATGTACCCCATAAATATATACACCTACTATGTATCCACAAAAACTAAAAAGAAATAAAGAAGACTGAACAGATACTCATTTTCCTTGTCAACTGACTGCTCTACAAAACTACCCTCAGTAGCTTTTCCATCCCTAGAACACTAGGAAATGTATGAATGCACATCACTAGTGGTGTTTCACTCAACCTCTGGCTATTTTCTTCTAATTTAATAGATTTTTCCCTAAATCCCGTAGATCAATTTTTGCCTTCCCCTACTGCAGCCTCCTTAGTGTTTACGACCTATTGTCCAAGTTAGTCCCTCTTGGTATGTTTTTGCTTTTTCTCCCTCCAGGCTGCTAAACAGAAATGTACATTTCTCAGGATAGGAAATTTCAACATCCCACGATAATTCAGTAACTCTTTATTTAACTTGGCTTCTTCCACACATTTTCTCGGTGTTGCAGGGTGAAGTACTGGAGAATGCACAGAGACTGTCAAGCTATGTTATTCAATTCTTTAGACAGTGCACTTTGTTGGTGGTTATTATTCATTGTAGGTGTTTTACATTTTATTCAAACCTGCACTGTTGAGTGTGTTAGCCAACAAATGCAAAAGTTCATTACATATGTAGTCTCTTCAGATGTGAAAAATTGAAGTTTAAAAGGAAAAAATACCTGAAAAAAAAAAAAAAAAAGAATGAGCCGAGCTGAGAGCTGAGCTGATTTTGTTTTGCAGTGTGGTCTTCATGGCTGAGCTGCAGATATAGTCTTCTAATCCCTGGAATCTGCTTCTGCATTAGAAGATAATGAGAGGAGTTTCTCTATGTGACCTCTTCTATGCTTTCCATCCCATTATATGTTTAAGTAAAAATATGAAATTGACTAGCTATAAGGGACTAGAATAAAGAAAAAAATCAGAATCTGGTGTATTGAACAAGAAGAAGAAGAAACAGAACAAGGAGTCTTGGGCTCTCTTATGCTTTCTTTCTGCTCAACAGCCTTAGGCCAATCATAAACTTCCCTGAGCCATAAATTTCTCTTCCACGGCTGGAAGGAGGTAGACCAGAAAGCATTCGAAGACCCCAGATAGCTCCCTGAATTTCTTTGATTCAATTGGTATTATACTGGGATAATTGAGAAAGAGTATGTATTAAAAATAAACCTTCCATTCAAAACTGACCTTTATTGTGGAACATGAAATAATACGTTAAAGCTACAAATAAAATGATGAAGTGTGAATAATTTTTTGTCACTTACTCTAGACTAAAAGAAATTCGGTGTCACAGAAGCCCCATTCAAGCTGCTACTTATTGTGTGTGCGGTTAAAAGTGTGTATTTAAAAGACAATGATATTGCATATTATGCATTGATCATTTAGCGAACATCTTTGCAGTCACTAATGTTTGCATGTAAGAATCCTAACGCTGAGTAACTTTTCATTGGTAGGGAAAGTACAATAATATCTGAATCTTTGCACTGTAAATGTATGAGGATATGGAGCAATAATATTTATCCTCAATTCACAGCTGTCTTTCAGAGAATGCAGCGTCTAGAAGGAAATTTTCATTTCCTGTGCTCTACAGGCCTACAAGCTTGTTTTTTTCTGATGAGCAGGTGAGGGCTGGAGAGTGCATATACCACCAAATTTAATCTAGTAAACTGAGGTTATAATTCTCACATCTTTCTTTTTGGTTTTATCTCTTCTTTCAGCTATCCTTTTCATCTCTCTATTATAAATCAAAACATCCTCTTAGACAGTCTGCTGTCTTCCTTGTTTTCTTCATCCATATAGGAAATCAGTGCACCAAGAGTGAGCTTCTTAATACACAAATCTGATCATTTATTCCATTTAAATCCCTTTAATGGTTCTTTTTTTTTAATCCTGAAAATAATGGGAACATTTTTAGGACATAAAGTCTACTTGTTTCTGGCCCTTGTCTACATCTCTAAGCTTAACTTTACCATTCACCAGTTCCCTTCTACCAGCAATACCAACTATTTCTGGTTGCCTAGACACACCACACACCTTTATACTCCATGAACTGGCATCTGCTGTTTATTCAGTGTTCACCTAAAGTCTTTCTTCCCATTGCCCACCCTTCATCAGTTAAAACCCTATACTGTTATAAAAATCTGTTTAGAATCATAAAGGCAAGTTGCTTTTTTTGCCTAATTTTGTCTGTATCATGAGATGCTTTTAGCAATGTTTGTTCCACAGGTGAGGTAATGATGACTTTATCTATTTACATGTTATATACTGAATTTCAAGATGCAGGAGGGATGGAACCTTGTCTAACTCTTTTTTACTATCCTCCACCCTTTGCTCAGTGTCTAGTACATGGTATGTGCTCAATTAAAGTAATTGACTGGATATAAAATAAGAATAGCATTTATATAGTACTTAATATCTGCCAGGTATTGTTGTTTTTTCTCAGAGATTTTGATGTATTAACTCACTTAACCAATATAACAACTTTATGATATAGGTACTCCATTTACTTCTATTATTCTGATAATGATTCAGAAAAACTGAGAAGTTAAAGACTTTGCCCCAGGCCACACAACTGGGATGGAGAGCTGGGATTTGAATCCAGGCAGTCTCATTCAAGAAACTAAACTCTTAGAGACCATGAGACTAAGGATGTGTAGATGACTTTATCCAAGTCCATTCCAGCTTTTACTGACAAAGTAACTAAAACCAATCTCTCAGGATTTCCAAACAAGTGGTCTTTCTACTTTGCCATAATATAAATGTCAACATCTTAGTCACACATTAAACAAATTTCTTATGATTTCAAGCATTTTTACATGCATACTTTGGATTGTATTTTTATATTTTTCAAATCCAAATTTATACTGTAAAATCACCTAATTATGAAAAGCTTTACCTGACAATGGCTATATGTAAGCAAATAAAACAGAATTAATAATCTATAATGACAGTGGATGTGAACTTAAAGCATAGGAATGAATTTTTATACCAAGGATTCTACAGGGAATCACAAGATCAGACATAAAACCAGTTCCCATGAATCTAGGCTTTTGTCTTCTGCCTCAAAATACCCTGCATGTCTAGAACAATTAGATTTCTCCCTTGGCTATGAAAGAAGACTGGTTGAGAAAGATGAGTGTGAGAGTCAAGCCGCATTCTAGCTTTGTGTTTCTGGGAAGCTTCTGAGCTTAGAGGAGATGTTTTATTCTGCTCATTGTAATGCACATTTCAGTTTCTAAAACCATACTTTAGAAGACAATCTTAATGAATTAACTTAATATTATATTGTTTAAACTTTTTGCTAAAGGAGGAAGCAGTACAGAGTGGAAAAGAGCATGGAGTTTGAGCCTCAGGTCCACTGTTTTCTAAATATGAGACTTTGAATGTTTCCCTATTTGTAAGATGGGATAAACACACTCTCTATATCATAGAACACTTGGAATGTGCTTAGCATAGTACATAGCTAGTAAAATCTTAACAGTGACTATTTTTAGCAATTATTTTAATAATCAGGTAACAATAATAATAAATTTTCCTTGGGAAGATCTACCCATTAAAACTAACATTAAAATGTATCTACACATCCATGATTTATTATTATTTTTATTTAAATTTAAAAAATAATGGGATGATTTTAAGTTCACTGGAAAGTATTTTACAGACATTTACTTATACATTTATTTTGTGGCATCATGTGACTACAGGAGCTCTATGTTGTATTTTAGAATCTACCAAGATTTGCCAGGGTCTTGTTAGCTAGCTAACAAGAGTCAAATCTCTGTTTTTTTCATTTGTAAAATGAGTTGGAAAAGATGATCACTAAGTCATTTTCAGCTGAAAGAATATCTTGATATGTTCATCTTTATGCTGCAATATTTATTTAACCTCAAAAACCTTTTTTAAAAAAATTACTGAAATTTCATTAAATAAGAGTTATAGGAGGAAACAGTTTAGGAAATATTGAGGTATATAATTATCTCATGCTATTTTAAGTTCTAAAGATTGTCTTGATGCCATTCTAGCAACAGGGGAATCTCTCTGACCTAATTTTATTTGCTTACTTATCTAGCTATGAAAATAATTTTTTGGTTCATACTCACTTTCTTGACAGTAATTTAGATTACAGTATGTTTGGAAGGCCTAAAGTAACTAGTAGGATCTATAAAGTAATATTACATTAGAGTTCACCAGCTTTATTCACAGTAATTCCAAGCATAAAGGATTTATTTCTGACTAGCAAAATTAATTTCTTCTGCTAATTGAACACTATATATGCACAAAACCTACTAAGGTGCCAACTTGTTCCAACAATGTCCTGGCTGCTGGATGACATGCTGAGCATGAATAACATACAAATGTTGTCTCTTGAGAGTACCTCACTTCTTCCCTGGAAATACTGCACAGGGAACATGTAAGAATGCATTTCCTTAAGCGATTCTGTTTTCCAACAATAGCTTTGGAATTTGGTCCTTATCTCAACAGAATCAGTTAAAGTAATTTATTATAAACCCTCTACATTATAAAAACTCACAAATTAAAACAATGCTTCAAAATAGTAAATAATTTCATGAAATAAAAAATTCATTTAATTTTATTTTCAAAAATCTGCCTGTGTGTGCATGTGTGCATACAGAGAACTTCTGGTAGACGAGACATTTTGTTTTTCTGCATTTCAGTGTATCAAAAGCCACTTGCGTATTCAAATGTAAGCTCATTCATTCAAAAATAGAGAGTACCTGGGAAAGAGTTGGGTGCTATTCTGTTTGGTCAGTGTGTTCCACCCTTGAGCAAAAAGTTAGAAGCACATTCTATGATCATGGACATTTCAATATCCTATCCTGCAATCACTATAAGATATGTTTTTTGACCTTAGATTAATTTAGTGATGCAGAAAATTATAAAACTTGGTTATGAAGTTGCTTCCATGCATATGCTTAAACTAGTCTTTAGCTCATTTTGTCCCCCATTACTAATTCCACCTGAATTAAAAATCAGATGAGGAATAAAGTTATTTTCTGTAGCAGCCTGTGGTAAAAGGAAAATTCCCAGATGTGGCAGTGACCACTATTCTCAGAATCCTGTCCCAATAAATTACTCTGGTAACATTAGCAATCATTGATAGATACCAAGTCAGTCTTAATGTGCCCCAAATGGTTTCTCATTTGACAGTTTCTGAGTCTCCAGTGTGGCTCTCAGAAAATGGGCCAACCTGATTCACAAAAACCAAGCTCTGTCAAAAAGTGAGGCTGATTGCTTTTGTCAGCCCGAAAGATCCACAACTAGTGGCACATACACTTGGCTGGTTGTCTTACAACAAGTTATGTAAGGCTTTGGAATCTTGTAGGGTATAGTACAACCCATGTTCCTTTACAATTATAGCATAATAGAAAAAACACTGAATTGAAGATCTAAGATCTAATTTGGCCTTAATATCAGTAAACCATAAGTCTGGATAAATGACTACCACATTTGAATTTAGATTTTAACTTCAAGTCCAGTGTTTTCCTATTTTAAAATAAGCCCTTTAAGGTCATTTATTATTAGCAAAACCAACAAATTTCTGAGGCCATAGTAAGCTCAAAGGAATAAATAATAATGATCATAATAAATATAATAGAAATAGCATTCATCAGAGTCCAAAGATTACAATAAGAAACTAAGATCATATAATATTCAGAATAATACTGTAGTATTAATATTATTGCCTTCTTCTGCAGATATGACAAAGAAACATTTTAAGTAGGGTACTCAGGGTCACATGGCTAATAATTGCCATAGCTAAGATTTTAACCAACATATGTTGATCTGTACAGTCCATGCTCTTAATCACTGTTATACTCTATTCAGTTCTAATTAAAGTAACTATTGTGAAACTTTGCTATAGTATTGTATTAGTCTGTTCTCATGCTGCTGTAAGAAATACCCAAGACTGGGTAACTTACAAACAAAAAGATGTTTAATGGACTCACAATTCCACATGGCTAGGGAGGCCTCACTAACATAAGGGAAGGTGAAAGAGGAGCAAAGGCACATCTTACATGGAGGCAGGCAAGAGAGTGTGTGCAGGGGAACTGCTCTTTTAAAACCATCAGATCTCTTGAGACTTATTCACTATCACGAGAACAGCATGGGGGAAAACCTGTCCCCCTGATTCACTTACCTCCCAAAGGGTCCCTCCTAGGACACATGGGGATTATGGTAGCTACAATTCAAGATGAAATTTGGGTGGGGACACAGCCGAACCATATCAAGTATAATCTTTCAAAGTATTCTATAACATTTTGAGCCACTGTGTACCATCAAACTTACTGTTATAAAATTTCTCATTTTTTCCAAATTTCCTTGTCTGTTATATTCCAGAAAGGTAAAGTCACTGAGCAAAAAATTTTTTCTTCTCTATTTACCTTCAAAAATTATCAAGAATAGGATTGCTGTCATCACTTCCACTATAACAAACCTTTTCCAAACACCTCTTCTTTTTTATGTAGATTACTTCAATATTCTCCTGGATGATCTTTCTAAGGAGACCTTCCTCTTCCTCTCACCAAGTCTAATCTCAAAAGAGCAGCCAACACGATGCTATTAAATGATAGGTTGGATTGTGTCTGTCCTCTGCTCAAAATTTCCCAATGACTTTATTTTTCACTCAGAATAAAAGTAATAAGTCCTTTTCAATAGAGTACAAGGCCCAACATGTTCTCCTCACCTCTCTACCTTTTGTTACCCCCATATTTTCTCTGAACTCATCTTCTGATGCAACCATCTTTGCTCATTGTGCTTCAAACACAGTAGTCTCCTTCTGTCCCTCGAAATTGTTCTTTCCTCTGCCGGAAAGAACATTTCCCAGATATCCTGATTATTTGTTCCCTTACATTTCTCTTTCCTTACTCAAATCCATCTTCTCAGGGACAATTTTCCTAGCCATACTAGCTAAAATTCAACCCCAAGACCCTTATTGCCCTCTTTCCTGCTTTTTTTAAAAAGCTCTTATTGGTAGCAAAATACTATGTGTTTCATTGATTTGTCATATATATTGCTGTCTCCACCTATTCAAAAGTTCCATGAGATTTTTTTTTGACCAGTATGTTCCTAGTACCTATAAATGTGCTTCACATAGCACAGACTTTCAATAAACATTTACAAATGAATGGATGAACAAATGTCTCCTCTTTTACCAAGCACTGTGCAATCTCTTTATGTTGTTTTCCACTCTCTGCACTAGGCACCCAGCATTGTGTGAGAAGGAAGCTCCAAGACTTGTACATCATTAACATCTGGGTCCTAAAACTTTGTTCAGCTCTTATTGAGCTCCACATACAGTCCTAATATCCATTATCCAAATCTACATACATCAATTCTCTTAGTTTCTACTTTAGTTATTTACAGAAGTGATTTTGTTCAAATGACTGCAATTTTGGATCACTTTCCATCTAAGTCTCCTCAGATGAATATTCCTTGTACCCTGACCCAGCACAGGGGCTCTCTATCTCAGTGCCACATCAGCATGGTGACACATTCCCTCAGTTTGCAAATGATAATCCAGATATCTTCTCCTCTTTATGTAACAACGATTTTTCCCACTTTCTCTGCTTTCATTGAAGCCTCCTAGCTTTGCTACCAGTTAGAGTTCTTATTCTTAATCATTTATTCTCCCCTCCATATAATTCAGGATTTCCTTTTTTAAAAGCTGTCAGCTATACTGTTTTTTTTTTTTTTTTTTTGGTTGGTGGGGTGGGTCAGGTACTAGGATGGGTCTGCAAATTGATAAGCAAATGTAGACATTTTCATCTAGGGTTACATTTTATCCTAAGGGAAATTATTAAGATAACAGTATGACTACCTACCAATATTTCACTTCAAAAGCAAGCTGTGTTTCCCATTAGAGAGAGAGAGAGAGAGAGAGCGAGAGAGAGAGAGAGAATAAAAGTCAGTCATCATTAATTAAATGAGGCAGAGGAAATAGCGAATGTTGAAACATCAATTATGATTTTCGGAGTTGGAAAGTATGGGAATCTACAGTTGAACGTCTTTAGTATGCATTTATCAAGCATTGTACAAATGAGTGTCTGACTTTGGAAGAAAGTGAGCCTTAAGTAAGTCTCATTCTTGTAAAATAAAATTTTTGAGGGACTTTGTACTTAGGGAATAAAATTCTGACTAAGATGCTCAGGGGAAAAAGTACTTCATGAGCTACATTTGCCTGGACAGGTAGCTGCACTTTGATACTAATGTCTTCTTCCAGGTAGCACATAGAGAAGAGTTTGCACCTTTAATGTATATGATTGATTAGAGACAGCCTGTGATTGCATCCCTGAGGATCACAGATAGACAAGAGAATACAATTTCTTATCTTCTTCTACTCTTCCATTTGAGCACTTAGATGCTGAGAAACTCAAGCGTGAAGAAACATTTCTCTAAATTTTAACTTCTTTCCAGATTTTAACCCCCATCAAGAATTACTCCCTCTATAGAAAGGCTCCAGCTCTGTTTCATGTCAGATAAGCAGTTCTGGTGAAAGAGTCACGTAATATTGTAATGATGTCCTATGTTGGTTTTTTGGAGCAATTTGGCACCCTACCGAATTGTAATTTCCTTACATTGAAGTTTCAAGTTTATCTAAGTTGATTTGAGCATCAAGTCTCCTAAGGGACATAATGTCACTTGAAAGGATATAGCTCTCTAGAATATGTAAGATTTTAAAATGGAAACAGTTATTTTCTATGAACGACTAGTTTTATTATAACCAGATAAAAGGTACTATGTGGTATTTAAAAGATCATAGGATATAGAGTCCAATGCTCAGAGATTAAAACCTAATTCATCGGCCGGGCGCGGTGGCTCAAGCCTGTAATCCCAGCACTTTGGGAGGCCAAGGCAGGCGGATCACGAGGTCAGGAGATCGAGACCATCCTGGCTAACACGGTGAAACCCCGTCTCTACTAAAAATACAAAAAAATTAGCCGGGCGTGGTGGCGGGTGCCTGTAGTCCCAGCTACTCGGGAGGCTGAGGCAGGAGAACGGCGTGAACCCGGGAGGCAGAGCTTGCAGTGAGCCGAGATTGCGCCACTGCACTCCAGCCTGGGCGACAGAGCGAGACTCCATCTCAAAAAAACAAAACAAAACAAAACAAAACAAAACCTAATTCATCATCTTTTAGAGTATGAGACTCAGGGGAAAATAGCTTAATCAGAGCATTTTTTTCTAATATGCAGTACTCTCTCAGAGATATTGTGAGTCAAAGTTTGTGAACGTGCTTTGTAAATTGTCAAGTGTTGAGGTCACATTTAGGCAACACATTTCAGATCTAACACCACGAAGAAAACAGTAGGAAATGGACTTGACAATTTCAGAAGTGTTTGCAATGTCAATGTGCTTCTATTGCCACTTTCCAGATTTTTAATAAGGAAAATAAATCTAGCTCTTATAAACAGTTGAAAAATCCTTGAAAGAATTTGAGATGTTTTCATCTAGTCTGATAGAATTGGAGCATTTAAGCCTTCAATTAGTACATTGATTAATTTTCTTATATAATTATGCTTAATATGAAGGAGAAAGCCATGTATTTTCTCAGTTGTGGATGTAAGATTCCATTTTGATTTTACTTGTTAACTAAACAAACGTTTGCCTATTGGGGTAAAAATATAAACAAAAAAACAAAAATTGAAGTTTCATCTTAAACATTTGACTAATTCACAATATATTACTTAGCAAGTTGCAATTAAAACATGTTTATTATTTTGTATTATGTGTAGAAGATAAAAATATAAAAATTGGCTCTTATAAGATAGTATAAAATCAGTTTTTATTTAAGGTTGTTGATACTAATATTCAATTTGTTGAAATGTTGTTATTGGCAATCAACCACACACCCTATTAAAAATAAATTGCTTTTGGTAGCTATTCCCCTTTCTTGCTAACATTATTTTAAAAGGCTTACTGGGCTGTTTTGTAATCATCACAACCATATATTTACAGAGCGAGATTCTCATGCCCTTGAAAAAAATGTAGCATAATTGTCCAAACTGGATTTTTTCTAAAATGTGGCTTTCTCAATTCTAGGTATATCTCACCCTTACTCTACCTAATTTTAAGCGTTTGTTTCCCAAACTAAAGCATGTTTCTACATGTTGGAGTAAATTTCATGAATAAACAGAATGCTAATCACACTAGAACATGTGCTTCAGAAAATGCACTTTCTGCTGACAAGAATGGATTCACTCTAAGTCATGCACAGTTAACTTAAGTCTCTCACCTGTGTCACCATAGCTTTGATTAAGAACATTGAGTATAGGCACTTGATAGAATGTAGATTTCCCATTCATATGCAAAATGAAATGGTATTGACCTTACTGATTTATTCTCTGTCCCTTCATATAATCCACTGCTCACAGCATTTTAAATGATAGATGTTAATATTATGGCACCATTTGCCTCTTTATTTTATACAAAAATATATATCTTTCTACATAGACATAGAATCTATATTTAAAATCTGCATGGACATACAGATAGATATAGATACAGAGCATATGTTAAATGTGGTTAATATATTTCATAATATTTCAGATACCAAATTAGGTTTCCCTAAAATGTTTTCTCAGTACTAAAATCTCTAATATCATAAATAATTAATCTCTAAAATCTATAATAAATAATCTCTAAAATAAATAATCTCCAATATCATAAAATAATTATTTTGAAGCAAGGCTTTATTATATGTTTTTAACCTCAGTTGTAGACTTTGTGAATTTTCTGATGCATTCTTATTATGAATGTTCCTATACATGAACAAAGCCAAAACTATCTTTGAGAAAAATCTCAAGAACATTATTCAAAACAGGACAGGTACAAGAATCACATTGGGAAAAAATATGACAATACACTAAGACCAGATATAGTTTAAAGATGCAGAACTTTAATACAGTCCCTTGTTTATTACTTGTTTTCTTTCTTCTTCCTCTTCTTCTTCTTCTTCTTCTTCTTCTTCTTCTTCTTCTTCTTCTTCTTCTTCTTCTTCTTTTCTTCCTCTTCCTATTCCTCTTCTTCTTCTTTTTTTTTTTTGATAGTCAGTTTACCACTACTACCACTTTGTCCACTAGCCAATGAGCTTACTATGCAGCAAGTTTTGAGTTACCTTACACAATAGGAAAAATGCTATATAAAACATGTTCTCTCATTATCACTATTTGGTAATTCATAATACTGAGTTTCAGAAAGGTTAAATAAATTATCTGAGTTTATACAACTCAAAAGTGGTTAAGCTGGGATTCTGACTTCAGAGATGCTGCATAATAACATCTCAGTATCATTCAATTGTCAGCAGATCCTTTAACTATGAGTCTCACCAGAACATAACCAAGTTCAGTACTTTGGTTGCTTGCTTTTCAAAATTTAAAGTGAATTCTGGCTATAATGACCAAGGCATTAGTAATCTTAACGTGCCCAACAGCTCCCCACAGATTTCACTTTGTAAGACATAGAGAGTTTTATGATATGAAATGTACTTTATATGTTCTCAGCCCTCTCATGAATATATTCATTTTCTCTGGGGCACAGTTTCTGTGCATCTTAAACAGAGAAATGTAAAAGAAATTTTATTTCTGTGAGTAATTTTTCAGTGTGAAATAATGACATAAAAAATCAAAGTTAGCCCTTTTAAAAGGAGAGAAAGAAACTTACTGCTTCCTTTAGAGAATAGTGGGAGTTTTCTGACTTTCCTAATTCATCTCCTGAATGTCTGATGTGCACTTCCACTGTAGAGAGAAAGCTGCTTTTGGCTTTCACCCTCAGAAATGAGCTGGAATCTCTTCTGCCTATTTGAAGCTCTTTTCTGGACTCTTATCACGGTTAAAAATGGGGATGAAGCTGATTGGGTTTTTTATGTGTGCTGAGTGTTGGCTGATGCCCACAAAAGTTAAATCACACTGGAGATGTGTCTGGCATGGCAAGCACATTCTCTTAAGATGCCAGGGAGATGGAGGATAGGGTGAGGGTGGTGCCCCAGTAATTGCCAGATATGTTTGGGGCCAGAGTCACTTTGAAACTGATGAAGATGTCACACTGACAGTCTCAATATGTGACAGCTCAATACTGTAACAGACATATGGCTGCAAAATAGGAAAGGCAATTGCTTTAACCTGCGAACTCTGACTCTGTTGCTCTTTACCCCAATACTTCATCAAGTTATTTATATGTGGGAGGCTTCAGAAAGTTTGTGGACCATCTTACTTCATTTCTTTTCACTCTATCCTGACACATGATAGGTTGCCTGAGTATTATGTTAAGCTATACTAACATAGCATTGGCAAAGTAGAATTAAAAAAAAATGTTGCTTGGAATAGCGCTCTGCAAATATTATCTGAGATCCAAAGTAGTTTAATTAGTATAGAAGCATTTGATCATATTTTTCTTCTATTGTTTACAAATCATGCATGTAAGGCATATTTGTGCCACTATATTTATTTGAGCTTTAGAAGCTCTGTAATGGTCTTATTGGCAGATATTATTATAATTGCTAGTATAATTATTATAATTCATAACTTGTACTTAAAACTATCAATGAAACATCCTTACCAAATATTTCCTAAATGTTATGACATTCACTTGAAGCAGATATTATTAACATCATTTTATCACAGGGAAAACTGAAGTTCAGAGAGGCTAAGTGACTTGGCCAAGGTTATGTGGTTTAGTAGGTAGCAGTACCAGATCTATACTTCAGAACTACTGATTTGAATTACTTTCCTGTTCCTATCACCTTATGCCCCTCAAAAAATATTTGTTAATCGGATTGTGTTAAACAAAAATACAGCCGTGTATTGAAGGCTGAATTCAAAATTAGGTATTTGTTTTGAAAAAGCTGGCCCAGACTCAAAAATAAATATTTTGTATCATCTTTGGGACTGGAGACATATCCTTGAATTGACCTAAAGAACACCTCAAAAAGCTCACACGCAGAAAGATTTAGAGAACAGGATGGTAATTTGCGGAACTCAATCAAAGCTTCTGAAAAGTTGCTGGGGTCAAGAAGGAAGTAGATTGATGATGTAGTTCCCTGACACTGTCCATGCAAGCATGCTTCTCTTTCAATTGGCTTTTGCATATCTGTATTTTGGAGATACCAGAATTAACTCAAGCCGTGTAGAATGAAGATGAAAGGAATTCAAAAATGAAACAAGGAAGTGGGGACATAGATGAGAAGACACTCTGCATTTTAAATGTAGCTTTAAATACTGTACAGAGAAATTAAAACACTTATGTAATCTTAGGGAACGCTCACAAAACCTCACAGAGAAGTGGCATGGAGGGCTTCCCATTACTGGACTCAGGCATCACAAAGTCAGGTATTTCATCTTATTTATCTTTGAATCCAGTGACCAAGACGGTATGTGGCACTTAGTGAGTATGTGCTTGCTGGTTTTTCTCTACTGTGGGCAGTGGCTCTGGAGGGTCTGAGCAATGAAGATACTTTAGCAATAAAAACCTTCAGGGAAACATCAAATAAACAAGCTCATCAAAGGTAACAAATGTTATGCAGCAGATAAAAGCACAGACTTTAGAATGGGAATTTGTTTTAATCCAAACTCAGCTCCTTCTTCCCTAATTAAAATGTAATCCCTTTATCTTTGCCAAGGCTACTTTGGGTTTTTTTCTTAACCATTTTATGTCCTTTTTCCTCTTCTTACATCCTTTATTTTTCTAAGTTTTACTAACATTTATTATTTAATAAGTGGTAGTATAAATATGTGGATAGACAAATGAATACTGGATCAGGGAGGGTCCATAGAACACTATCAAGTTCAAAGAGAGAAGTCATCTTTGTTCACAGAATGTGAAGAAATAGAAATATATATGTGTATACACTCACAGACACACACATGCACACACAAATACCTGACATGGGCTTTGCAATAACAGGCCTTGATTTAAATCTTAGCTCAGCCAAGTTTTCTTTTTCTTTCTTTCTTTCTTTCTTTCTTTCTTTCTTTCTTTCTTTCTTTCTCTCTCTTTCTTTCTTTCTTTCTTTTTTTTTTTTTGACAGAGTCTCACTCTATCGCCCAGGTTGGAGTACAGTGGTGCAATCTAGGCTCACTGCAACCTCCTCCTCCTAGGTTCAAGTGATTCTCCTGCCTCAGCCCCCCTAGTAGCTGGGATTACAGGTGCCCACCACCACGCCTGGCTAATTTTTGTATTTTTAGTAGAGACAGGGTTTCACCATATTGGCCAGGCTGGTCTCGAACTCCTGACCTCAGGTGATCCCATCCACCTTGGCCTCCCAAAGTGCTGGGATTACAGAGGTAAGCCACCGTGCTGAGTCCCAGGTTATATTTCTAAGCTCCAGTTACCTCAGCTACAAAATGGGAATGAGAATATGTAACAGAAATAGGCCAATAATGTACATTATTTTAGGGAAATGGAGTTATAGACAAATTTTATTTTTTATATTTATACTTCTACAGTGTTTGATTTGTATTTTATGTGAGTATTTTGTAGGCAAAAAATCAATGAAGTTATAAAAATGAAATACATATATGTGAAAATGAATTCCTGAATTTAAAACTTGTAGACTAAATAAAATGGGTACAAAGTTTGATAAATAATGACACTTGTAAATGTACATTCTTCTCTTAATTAAGTATAAAATAGTGGGCAGGGTATATTGACAGGTTGTAGTCACACTTGGAAGATGTATTTCTCACAATTAGCTTCCAGGGTTGTTTTTGTTTGTATTTAAGGACCAATGGAAGTATTAGTGTGAGATTAAATATTTCAGCATAAAAGACTGACTAATAAAGGATGGAAAACTGTTGGAAAACAGTATAAACTAAGTGGTTCTTTCAATAATGATTCCTAATTCTTAGGCTCCAAACTAAAGATCACAAATTGGTGTTTATGCTAGTATGCTTAAAGAAGCTTCGCTTTCCACAGTTAAAGATACTGTAACCTCATTTATATATATATACACATATATGTGGTATATATGTCAAATAATCTTTAAGTTTGTTACAGATGAAAGGAAGTTGGTTTTAGGGTTTACGGATTTCATTAAATAAATATTGTTTCCTCAAATGATCTATGAAAAACTACCAGAATCAAATATTTGAATATTACTAGAAAGCGTCACACGTGCAGTAAAATGCTACTTTTTGGTAAGTCTGACAACTAAGATGTTCGTACTAACATTTAGACATAATTTACTTTAAAAATAAATGCTTGGCTGGGGACCGTGTCTCACACCTGTAATCCTAGTACTTTGGAAGTTCAAGGCAGGAAGATCCCTTGAGCCCGGGAGTTAGAGATCAGCTTGGGAAATATAGTGCGGCCTATTTCTTCAAAAAATAAGAAAATAAAAAAAAAAAATTAGCCAGACATAGTGGTGCATGCCTGTAGTCTCAGCTACTTTGGAAGCTAAGGCAGGTGGCGGGGGGTGTTGTTTGAGTCCAGGGATTTGAAATTACAATAAGCTATGATAGCGCCATTGTTCTCCTGACTGGGCAACAGAGCAAGACACTGTCTGTGAAAAAAGAAAAAAGGAAAAAGGAAATGGCTTATTTTTACATATTTGGCTAGCAAAAACTTAGATTCTCTTTATTAATATTTATCTGATCTCACTTTAGGAAATTTAAAAAAAAAAACAGGGTCCATGGCTAATTACAAAACATGTTTACTCTTTGACTTACAGACTTTTCCTCATAGTCTAAGGCAGTCTTACAAAAAGATTCCCAACACTCCTATACCTCCAGGCAAAATAACAAAGCAAATCAAGCTGCAATAACTTTAACAGCCAGGTAATATTTACCAGCCCTTTCTTATGCTAGTTTCACCCAGGTCATCCATCATAGAATTCTCAACCTCGACCTCCAGTACCCCAAGTGGGTGTGTGTTACTGAAATGAATTTAAATCTCAATTATAATTAAGCTAGTTGTCTACAGGAAGATTTTTCTAAAGCTTTTCCAGATACATCCCAAGGTCCTGGCCTATAGACCTCATTAAATTTCTCAGCCACTCTAGAGATCCTCAGGCTTTGGAGAGCTAGATGATGCTCATTGTTGAAGCCACGCTAAAGGAGCTCACCTTCAAACAGGACAGAAAGAACATACACACAGACACATAGACAGTAGTATGTTTACAAAACTACAAGACATGTCTACCAAAATGCAGTGACAACTCAAGGAGCTCATAATCAGTAGGGGAAAATCAGAAGAAAAAGCTATATAAAGATGCTATTCACTCCAGAAATTGAAAAAGAACCAAATTTTTTTTTTTTTTTTTTTTTTTTTTGAGACGGAGTCTCGCTCTGTCGCCCAGGCTAGAGTGCAGTGGCGCGATCTCGGCTCACTGCAAGCTCCGCCTCCCGGGTTCAGGCCATTCTCCTGCCTCAGCCTTCCGAGTAGCTGGGACTACAGGCGCCCGCCACCATGCCCGGCTAATTTTTTTTTGTATTTTTAGTAGAGACGGGGTTTCTCTGTGTTAGCCAGGAAGGTCTCAATCTCCTGACCTTGTGATCCGCCTGCCTCGGCCTCCCAAAGTGCTGGGATTACAGGCGTGAGGCACTGCGCCCGGCCAGAAGAGCCTAAATTTTATAGGCAGAAATAGGGAAAAAAACAATTCAAGAAGAAGGAACAACATAAGTAAAAAGAAGTTGCATAAAAAGGAGGGCACGATCTCATGCCCAGTGTGCTCTGACCCAGATAAGCAGCAAAACACGAGCCTCTCGGACATTGGGACAACTAAGGTCTAAGGCGGGCCTGCCCCAGGTGAAGTGCAAGGAGCCACCTTGGACACTTCCTGCTCATCTAGGTTGTGTGAATGAAGCCAAGGAGGTTTTCTCCCACTGGACATCTATCTCAGCGGCCAGTTTCCAACACATCTCTACCCATTGTGGAAACGGAGTACATGGAGCAATTGAAGACAACTGCATGTCAGAAGTCTAAGTCACTCAGCCTAAGGAGTATGGTTTATGGGTAAGGGAGATCCAAGTGAGAGAACTAAACCTCTTTTTCAGGAAGAGCAAGTAAAAGTGGAGCTGGGAAAACTACCCTATCTTAGGGTAAATATAAGCACAAAGACATTGGTAATGGTATCTCAGAAAGTAAAGGAAAACCAACTAAAGCCCCATACCATAAGAAAGGCTCAAAATGATATACAACAAGTGGGCTCAGGATAGAGAAATGGCACTAGGATTTAACTGTCAATGTTCTCATAAATATCCCAAATGCCTCCAGATGGGCAGGTCACCATCTAGCATACCAGGCTTTCTTGAAGAGGTGGCTACAGTATACAACATGTAACATATAGTATATAACATGTAACCACAGCATCTTCAACTAGGCAGTGGAAATAAGATCTCATGACTGGCCACATGAGATCCTTCCTAACTCACTCAAAGATTCATTTTCTTCATGAAAATGTCCACAGTCATTTCTGGGAATCTCAGTCCCATCTCACATTGCTTAGGAAATGTTCACTCACTCTGTCTTCTTTGGCAAGGTGCTATGCTACCATCTCCCTTGGCAGTGAGCACCCTGAGAATGCCGGTCTGAGGCACAGTCATCTTCCTCTGATGGCCCTTCAAGATCTTCAGTTGACAACATTGCACTGGCATCTGTGGTAGGAGGATCATTCCCCCCTTAACCCTGCAACTGATTTTAGCATCTGGGCCCCCAGAGCAGCAAGGCTTATCTCCCAGGTTAATTAGTCTTCCAGGCACTCAGATTCTTTAGTTTCTCTTCTAACTCTAGGAACATTTTAAAAGTGCCTTTTGGCAAAACCAAGTTTTATACCATCTTCTTCATTTCTACTGTTGCTTTCTTCTCTCTTGGGCAACTCTACCACACATCTGCCTCTTCTAATATTTTAAGCTAATTAAAAAAAAATTACCCCCTCCTTTGTATGTGAAATAATTTGCCTACAGGCTTCAACGTCCACCAATTCTATGGCAGGCAATCTCTAAATTTCAGTCTGGACACGATAAGATCAAGTGACTAAGTATAGAATTAAAACAGTATAGAATTAAAACTAAGTATAGAAATAAACAATATTTATAGAGTGCTTTCATATAGATTACCTTGTTCAAACTTTTAATTATCCTTTGAAGTAGATATTATTTATTTTTGCATCTCCTTCATCTTAAACTTACTACAGTTAACAACCACCTCCTTATCTTTCACTCCAAATCTCTCATTCCTTAGAGCTCTCTACCTCAGTAAATGAAATTTCAAAGCTTCCATTTATCAGACCAAACATGTTGGAGTTCTTCTTAATCTCTTTCTTACAACCTGTCTTTAATCATCTCACACATTAAATCTACTCAAAATATATATAGAATCCAACCAGTTCTTACCACTTTCACATCTACCACCATGGTCCAAGAAATTATCATCTTCCACATGGATTAGAGCAATAGTCTGCTAATTGTTCTCCCTTCCACTCTCATCTCCCTTCAGTCTATACACATCACAGAAGCCAGGGAGATCTAGCACCTTATTCCAGTTCTTCCCACCTCCAGGACTTCACTCCTTAATTCTAGGACTGGCTAATCTATAGTACCTTGTGTTCCTCAAATGCACAAATCATGCTCCCACATCAGGGCCTCCCCACTTGTTTCCTCTACTGGAAAGGTTTTCTCCCATATGTTTGCATGCCTCAGCTTCTCACCTTCCTAGCTTTCTCAGCTTCATAATGATTCCTTCCCTGACTGTCATTTAAAATTGCAATGCACTCCCATGCAAGCACTACCTGTTCCTTACCTACTTTATATTTTTCTGTAGAACTTGTCCCCCATTCAACATAACATATTTACTTAAAATTATTTTGTTTTACTTTTTTGCTTATTGACTATCTCTGTCCACTAAAATATGGGTATGTGAGGGTTGATATTTATATTTGTGTTGTTCTCTGCTATATCTCCAAAGCCAAGAATAGTGTTTGACTCATGGGGAGTGCTCAATAAACATTTGTGGAATTACTGAATTAATCAACACATGCTAAGCAATGCATGTGTCTGGAGAATTACTGACTTCTGTTCCATTTCTTCCTCTGTAATTCATTGGCTCTTAACCTTGTGCATAAGTCTCTCTTAGTCATAATCTTATTTGCCTCATCTATAAAATAGAAATAATTGTAAGGATGTTAACTAAAATGATAAATGTGACAATGCCTCGGACATAGTATACATGAAGCAGATGGTGATTGCTATTGCTATTATTAAAATATTTTTAATAACCTGTGGGATGCCATTTTCAATCTTAATTAAATGGAGGAAGTTCTACTTTTTTCCACAAAGAATGAAGGCACATGAATTAATTAAAATATATAAAATAATACATGTGTCAACATCCAGCTCAGGGTCTAATCCATAGAAGGTCCATAATGAATGGTTTTTTCAATTGGTCGAGTTTTTTTTTTTTTTTTTAATTATTTGATGCACTACATTTCTTGACTTCAAAAGTAGTTTAGCATCATGAGGAATTGGAAGGATTTTGTAAATTATAAGACTTAATATACGATGTTGCTAAAAGAGTTCCTTGCCTAGGGGTTCCCTATTCAATTTTTGAGCATGCAGTGGCCAAGAATATGGATTCTTCAAGGCAGGCTTAACAGCTCCGAGGCTCCGAAGTTGGTGGCCCTTTGTTAAAGAGATTTCTTTTTCAACTTCAGGAAAATCCTCAAGGCCTTCCCTGGTTTTTATTTCCTATCGAAAGTATGAAAATTCCTAGGGAGGAATTCTTACAAGTTTTCATCTTGCAGATATCTTACCCCCAAAAAGTAACACTTTGTTAAGGTTGTTGAAAAAAAAAAAAACTCTCTAGTTTCCATCAAAATCAATTCAGCTAATTAGCAAATATAATATCATGTGGTATAATTTTCTTTTGCCAAATCAAATGAAGGCAAGTCAGACTTTTACCAGTAGAATACTGAAGCCCCCTTGCACTGGCCTGCACCAGCCTGTAAGAGAATATTCTACACTTCTCTTCCCAACTCAGACTTCAGTGACATCACATTGGTGGGTGAAATGGCTATAGGGGCAGTAGTCACACCACAGAAACATGCAAATATTACACATACTACAAATTAGAGCCAGAATTGTTCTCACAGAGCTGATTTTTCAGTACACCATTGGTTCTACCTTGTTATTTTCAAGTATATGAAATAAACACCCATTCGCTCGACAATTTGTTATTGCTGCGCCTTCTTTGTGCAAGGCATTCAATTTAGGAGTCACTCTCTGTAATAGATGCATGCCATTTGGTTGAATAGAAGTTTGTCTCAAATTGTTTTACTGCCTTAAAATTTCTGCTTTGTGGTGTGGTTTCTTGAACAGTAAATGTGTCCTGTGAAACATTTTGCTTTACTGCAGCGATATTTCCCTGTATTTGCAACATGAATATGGAGTTAAAGATGTAAAATCTAAGAAATCAAGCATAATGAATTCCCGTGATTTTTCAGCATATTTGTCACCGGATAAGAAAAAGTTGAGGGGAAAGTGATGCACGGCCAATGTTATGATTGTTTCACCTAGTGGATTAAGCAGGATTGGAGCCTTCACATAGACTGATTTTTTTTTTTCAAAAGGTTCTTCAGCTCCACCTGGAAACTTCTGAAATTATGTTTGATAAGTTGGAATATATCAAGGAGATGCAATCACTCTGATTATATATTCTCAGTTGGCTACCTATCACTTCTCAGACCTTAACTAGGTCATGTGAAGGTAGCTTAGAAAAACTGGGTAAATCGTGTATCACACAGTCAGAAAAACTGTGAAATCACATTCAGGATGATGACAATAAATAGTGGCTGCCACTCTTTTACACGTATTTTTAATACTTTTAATATTTTATTAGCTTTTATATTTCTAGCTTAGCTTTGAAAATAAAATAAATATTGTGTTAAGATATTTCTCATGGGCTTTTTATCTTTGAACTAACTTATACAAGTCCTTTTATTTCTATCCTATTTTGTCTTACTGCGCTGACGGAAGAAATATTCTGAAATACAAATTTTTAGATTTGTCTTTTCTCATGAACTATTGCCTTTATCATGTTAGGTCCTTTTTAAAGAGGTGCAATATTTTTTTCTTCAAGGGGTGAAGCTTTTCAAATACCTAGAGAAACAAATATAAACTATACGTTTTCTATATATTTTTTTTTAAAAAGGATGAAACAAACCCCTAATATTTTAAATAGGTTATAACAATAGGAATCTCTCCTCCTAACCAAAAAATTGTTTTTTATTTCTAAGTTTCTAATAATAAACTTATTTTGTTTCATAATACCAATATATATTTTTAAATGATATTTTGATTCTGAATAGAATACAATTAGATTCAAAAATACATTGTAAGAATACATGGCAAATTTGGCCAGGCGCCATGGCTCACGCCTGTAATCCCAGCACTTTGGAAGGCCAAGGTGGGCGGATCACGAGGTCAGGAGATCGAGAGACTATCTTGGATAACACGGTGAAAACCCCTCTCTACTAAAAATACAAAAAATCAGCCGGGCGTGGTGGCGGGCGCCTGTAGTCCCAGCTACTCCGGAGGCTGAGGCAGAAGAATGGCGTGAACCTGGGAGGCGGAGCTTGCAGTGAGCCTAGATTGCGCCACTGCACTCCAGCCCGCGCTACAGAGCGAGAGTCCATCTCAAAAAAAAAAAAAAAAAAAAGTAAATTTAAAAAAACCTAATAAACTTGTGCATCTCCAAGCCCACATAATAGGATAGTCTTCAGTTAATATAGACTATTGTTTATATTGAGTACTATATAGCACTCTGAATATTTCCATTTGTGGCAACTACAAAGTTTAAGGCAGATAAAATTACTTCCACAATATTCCAAATGTTGGGCGTTTTAAGTTTAGAGTTCTAAGCCTAATTTTCTATATAGGGAACCTATCAAAGTGAATTTCTATAAAATGAAGTGTACAAGAATAAATATATTTGACCTATTTTAATGTGCCATTCTTATTCACCACTGAAAATTGCTTGTAAATATAAATTTAAGTGTAAAGTAAAAATCATCCTTCTTCAAACCCCACTCTTTCTATTTATTTTATAGCTCTAGGCACTCATGAAAAGCTTTTCACTCAAAGAGCAAGCCAACGGAATAAAGATCAGAATTTTACTATTATTATTAATCTTGTGAATATTCACTATTAGGAAGCCCCCTAAGAATACATTGCCTTATCAAATATACAAAGTCAAAGTTGATGCGAAGAGTTTATAATGTAGGTCAGAAAGAGGTCTTTTTTTCTTTGCCTGTTATGAGCAGAGACCTCTCCTGCTTTCTCAGCAATCCCCTTGCCTTGCATTAAACATGGCTTACTTTTGCTTCATCAGGGTTTGTAGCATCAGCATTATTGCTTGCTCTCCATCAGGGTTCTTGCTGGTTTGCCTCCGGCATCCCTGGTCCAAGAGTGAAGTGCTGGAGAGTTTGTTAGCTGTGACTCTGACTTTCCTGTCAAGGCGTTTTTATATTTGCGAATAGTTATTTCCTTAGGTACCTGGAAAGTCATTGTTTATGTGATTCCGCAGTTTCATAGACTTTATCATAAATTGACAAAATTCAGAGCCCTTCCTTGGGTGATGTTTCAGGTTAAAATTAATGCTCATTTTCAAGGACAGCCATGTCAAATCTTGTCACCACAGGCTGCTTTTTTTTTTTTTTTAACTCATTGTAATCATTTTGTTTTTGCTTGTGTGTCATGGGTGGGTGGGATTGACATTTGACCCAAAGACTACCAGTCTCTCTATATGGTATAATATGAAGCTATTGCACTTGACAGTTGGGGCAAGAGAGTGTGTGATTTAAGGCATTTAATTTAAAATATATACAAGTATATGTGTAAAGAATGATGTTTGTCTTTCTTCTGCTGCTACAGTAATCACTTGAGTTCATTTGTAGAGATAAGATTTTACAGAAATAATTCGCTAACTTGATAAAGAATAAAGAAATAGGAAATGTGACATATTGTATCTAGAAATGTTAAAGAATTCCTTTTCTGTAGAAGTTTTGGAAGACATAAAACAGATTACTTCCCATCAGCTGAATGTGATCTCTCTCCCTCTGTTAACTCCCATAGCAAGCCATGTGTGATGACTAATGTACTACATTAGGCACTAGCAGCAGACAAAGATGAACAAGACACTGCCTTGCTCTGAGAGATGAAATATAACTTTTACCTTGTATGTTATAGCTATGTTGATCTATTTTATCACTGTTAATGGCCCTGTATTATTTGATAATTATTTCTGTATCATACATATTTATGGTCCCCTCAGCACCTAGAACATTTAACACACAGATCAATTTGTTAAATGAATTCATTTAATAATTATTCTTTCATTCAACAATTATTTGCAAGCTCCGACTATCTAAGGCAATTATCTCTTTAAGATGGTTTTGCATGTATTCCTACTCTGACAGGAAATAAACTTAGTAGAGTTATTTTTTCTTTTTGTAAATTCATAGTTCCACCTTGATTATTATGTTAACATTTTAGACATCAAAAAAGAACCATCAAAATATCTACAAAAATGCTTCCAAGGGACTTCCACTTACAGAAGGATAAAATAGAACTTTTTTCCTTCCTATTTATCCCATTAAAGGCAACCACAAATCCCAGATATTATATTGGAAAAATGCTTAAGAGGATCTTGAAAAGTAGAGTGAAGAAGGAAGACCATACAAAAAGCTCTGAATCCAAGTAATGACATGGTGGTGAGTTCCTGGGTTTTTGTTTTGGCTCCATATTTCCCAGATTTGGAGCTGAAGAGATCAGAAACCCAGAAATGGCAATAGGTACATATATATACACACACACACAGAGAAAAAACATTTGACTCTTTCTGGCCAAAGGACAAGGATAGAGCAATTTAATAAGACAGAAAAATTTGAGGCAATTAACACTTTCATCCACCCATACATAAGAGAAAAATGTATGGCCTTATCCTCACCTAGGCCATCAATGCCCTAATGAATAATCTACATTTCTACCTTCACCCGGCTATGACAAGGTCCCCCCAATTTCCATCAGGGTAGCGTCAAAGAAGATCACACAGAAGCCAGGACATTCATCCCTGCCAGGCAGTAACCAGGCCACCCTCCACCCTTTGTATCATCAGTGGAGATAACATAGGGATCCTGAACTTCTACCCCTACCATCCCTATATGTTGGGATGGTGTCAAACTAGGCTTAGAGGAGAGTCAGGACTTTCACCACCACCCAGGAATAATGACACCAATACCCAACCCCCCTGCCGTCCACCAGCACGGTGTCAGTGGTGAACAAGTTGGTAATAGTTACAAGTCATTCCTATTCCTCCCAGCCAGGGAGGTATCAATGGAAGTCTAATGGGAGCTGGAAGTCCTGTCCATGCCAGTGGTAATAAAGAGCCCCTGCCCACTCATATATAAGCAAAGGACAGGTGAAAAAACATGAGCTTCTACCTCCAACTGCCATTAATTCTACTCCCACTTCCCCTACTAGAGCAATATTGGAGAAAGCCAACCAAAACAGAAGGTTTAAACAATATCCAGAATCTCATAATATCATACTCAAAATGTCTAGGTTTCAACTGCAAACTACGTATTCTACCAACAATCAGGGAGATTTAAAATGAAATGGAAAAAAAACATTAGATGCTAATATCAAGGAGAGCAAATGGACACCCAGCAAATGCCATAGACAATAAAATAAAATTTGACTTCAGTTTCATACCTTATAAAAATTAATTCAAAATGGATTATGCACTTATAACTAATAAATAAAACTATAAAACTTTTGGGAAAAAAATAAAGAAGATAAACTTTGGAGTCTAGAACTAGGCAAAGAGTTCTTAGACTGGAAACTAATAGCATGGCCGTAAAGCGCAAAACTGATAAATGGGACTTCATCAAAATTAAAATCTTTTGTTCTGTAAAAGGATTAAGAGGATGAGAGGACAAGGACAGGAATGTAAAAAGTTACAGTTACTCTGGAAAACTCTTCAGCAGTTAATTTTAAAAACTAATTATGCAACTACCATACAACCCAGCAATTGTTTGTCTGGCCATTTTTTCCCTCAAAATAAAAACTTATATTTACAAAATGTCTGTACATGAATACCTATAGTGAATTTCTTTATAATAGCCCCAAACTAGAAGCAACCAAGACATCCTTCAACAGGTAAATAATTAAACAAACTGTGGTATATGCTTACCAAGAAATATTACTCAATAGAAAAAAATGAACTATTAATGACCTGGATTAATCTTCAGAGAATTATACTGAGTGAAAACAGCCAATGCCCATAAGCCACATACTGTGTGATTACATTTAAATAACATTCTTGTAATGACAAAGTTACGGAAATAGAGAACAGATTAGAAGTTGTCAGTGTTTAAGGGGGAAGTTAGAGATAGGAACGAAGTGGATGTGGCTATGAAAAGGGCAACAGGAGGGTCCCTTGTGGTGATAGAAATGACGTGTATTTTGACCGTAGTAATATCAATACTCTGGTTATAGTATTGTACTATGTAGTTTTGCAAGATATTGTCATTGGGTATAAAGGGGGAACAGGCACTCGGGATCTCTGTGTTTTTTTTTTTTACAACTACATGTGAATGTACAATTATTTAAAAACTAAAAAGTTGAATTAAAAATTCAGTCATCAGCAATATGACATCTACATATTTGTATCTCTACTGCACGGCAATCATATGAATGTCCTTAGTTGATTTTAAGGAATACCATTCAGTTTATAGCCCTGATACCTAAGTGGCCATGTTTTCTATAGAATTCTGACATAAACCTCAATCTAATGCCACCTGACTAAATCAGGAATGGCACTTGACCAAAAGTCAAGCAAATTTTAATTAAGTCATATGCTATGATCTCAGTGATCAGGTGAATTGAGCCAATCATATTCTCTCTTTTGAAAATTTAAACACACAGACACACACAAACATAAACACACACAGAACAGGCTGTGTGCTTTTTATTAAATTACAATCTCTCAGTTCAAGTCCACCCTCCTCTTGCTTTGAGATGCTGGGTCTCGGTCAGTGCAAAGCATATATTTTCCTTTGCCACCTGGCTCCCTGTTTGCCAATACAGGGATACAGAGGGAGAATAGAAGCTTGAGAGGGAAGTAGAAAGTGCTTCCTGCTTCTGACAATGTCGCCCTGTTTATTCCAGTAGCCACTGCAAAGCAGTTGGTTCTATTTTATACATTTTTCTACAATTCAGGAAGAAAAAAACCTAATCGCACTCTTTCCTAGTGATAAAACAGCACTAGCTGGCTGGTACCCCATCCTCAGAAATGTGATTCCAGCTTTGCCTGTGGATTCCTTTCTAGTTTTCAGGCTGTAACACTGGCTGAGTACCATCCCCCACAAAATTCTGCATCCCAGCTCCGTGGGTACCCCAATCTGAGTTTCTGGGGTACAGCCCCAGCTGGCAGCCTCTCCTTAAAGGAAAGGTTCTTAGCTCTGTGGAGTCCTTGCTGAGCTTCTAAAGTCCCTCTATTTTTCGGGGGACACCCTCACCCAAGACTCCTGTATTCCTTTTCTTCAAAGCCCCTCCTCCAGTATTCTAAATTCTAATAATCTCTGACTCTTACTTTTGTCCCTGCATCCAGGATATCCACTTCCTGTAATTACTACCTTTATGATTCCTCAGTGTTTTTTTTTTTTTTGCCTTTATTATTCGCCAATAACTGGCTAACCATTCTTTGATAATTCTGCCTATTGAAATAAATGGTGTGGTTTCTGTTTCCTGAATGTAACCTGATTCACACAGGTCATTAGCAGCAGGAGCTGAAGCTGTTAAAGGGAAAGCAGCTGCAGAGGCCATGATAGGCTATGTGCAAGGCAAAATTTTAAGAGGAACAATTAGTAAAAGGCTAAGAAAAATAATCAGAAACAAAAAAGAACAGAAATGAATAGACATTCAGGGAGAAGTAGAGTTGCAAAAAGTTTAAAGCTCCTGTTGCTCATAAGAATGACACAAGCATATAAGAAGCTTCTAGAACTGCCTTTTTTATTCTTGTTTCTTAATTTGGTTTCAGTTCCAGCCCACACATGTTGCCAGAAAAATTCCCTTTTTACATGGGTCACCTAAATGAGCCTTTTTTCTCAATAAACAAAAGAGCCTAAGGAAACAACATCCTTCCCTGTGTATAAATAGAAAGACCAAGTTTGACGGCAAGGAAAAAAAGACAATTACATATGCTTTCAAAAAGAAAGATTCAAATCTTCTCTCTCTCTCTTTTTTGGAGACGGACTCTTGCTCTGCCGCCCAGGCCGGACTGCAGTGGCACTATCTCGGCTCACTGCAAGCTCCGCCCTCCGGGTTCACGCCATTCTCCTGCCTCAGCCTCCCGAGTAGCTGGGACTACAGGCGCCCACCACCGCGCCCAGCTAATTTTTCGTATTTTCAGTAGAGATGAGGTTTCACCGTGTTAGCCAGGATGGTCTCGATCTCCTGACCTCATGATCCGCCCACCTCGGCCTCCCAAAATGCTGGGATTACAGGTGTGAGCCACTGTGCCTGGCCAAGTCTTCTCTCTCTTTTTGGTTGATATTTCTATTGAGTGGCTGTGTTTACCTCACCATTGCTTCCTCATCTTTAGAGAGCACTTCACACTTGCAAACACCTCCATAGCTAGGTTCTTATGTGACTCTCCAAACAAAGTGATATCTCTGAAGATAGATTAACATATCTTCCATTCAGCTTAATCTACATAATGTGTAAAGAAAGGGTTATCTTTTGGGAGGATCATGAGTTATGAATGCAGGACAGACAGCTGTTATAAATGCAACTGAGAGAGAGCTAAATATTAATAGGAAAATGCATGAGCAATACCTTCTACCTTCATTTCCAGTCCACTTACAACATTTCTACTTATGCCTTAAAGCAGCAAAAATAATTCAAGTATTTGCCAGTAAAAGGGAAAGTACAAACTTCTCCTCTACAATGGTGCTTAATGTCACTATAATTTGATCTTTTTTTTTCCTTAACACAGTGAAACCCCACAAATGAAAAAAGAGATTGTTTCAGTTTTGCAGAGCTGATGGCTTCTATTTCTAGGTGTGAGTCCCCTTGACTCTTGATGGTATAACAATTATTAACTACAGAGGATGCCACAACCCAATCCTCCAGCTTACAAACTGCCACTTGTTTTGAGTCACTTAGACTTTCATTCTTCCCCACTGGTTCATTCAGACAAGTACAACTTTTCCAATAGCCCAACAGAAAATATTTTCATGCTGTCACCACATAAAGCTTTCCGATCTCCCCAGGTTTTCAAAGAGAGAATCGAAAGCCAGCTACCATTCCCAAACACTTTGTTCCATATTAATGATTGAACCACTGCCCCAGTTTCAAAGAAAAGGAGCTGGGGCATCACCATTTGCCTGCCTGTTTCATTCTGAATCCCAAGAAGGACAATCTGCCACTCTTTCAACTCCTGGGGTAGCGCTCAGAAACATCTGTTTGAGAAACAGTTTGACCCCTACCCTTCTGCATAAATCACTACTGGTAAAAGTTTTATGAGGTGGCAACTTTTTCCCCCTGCTTTCTCCTTTTGTAACTGACTGAAGCCCAAATGAACAAGATGAAATGGCCAGACATTTAGCCATATGCTGGCATCCACATGTGTACATTCGGGAGGGAAAAGAAGCTGTCAGCTGTACCAAAGGAGAATTATAATGATCTGAAATGTAATTAACAACCCCATAGTCAATGAATCTTTGAAGGATTCTAATGGAAAAAATTATACCTCTCACTTACCTGTAGCAAATTGTTCATGGACCCGTTTCTCTGTTTGCAAAACTGGAACCCACTTAATTTATGGCGATTCCAAAGTAGTCTCAGGATGTTTCCATATTGTTAATCCGCATAAGTTATTCTTGCTTTTCCAGTAACTCCTACATAAAATAGAAGAAAAAGATATAATTAGGATTATTTAATGGTCAATAAATGCTGGTAGATTTTAACACCTAGAGCTCACACTAAAAAAAAATTAAAAAACACACACACACATTGACCATTTTTATTTTTTGTATGATAGAAAGTAATGGGAAAAATATTTTCTCTTTTAAAAACTATATCAAATGTTATGGTCATTTTGTAAATACAGTTACACCTAGTAGTAGATCTCCAGGTGACTGGTAAAGGCTAAATAAAAGTTTATTGATTAGAGACTCAATATAATAGTTTTAATTAAAATTTGCTTGTTACTTCATGAGGTAAGAAGGTGGAAAGGAATTTAACATCTGAGATGTTACCATGGGCCTGGGCTATGTGAATTGCTTTTACATGTATTATTTTATTCAGTCAGCACAGTAATATTTCTTAAGATCTTGCTATCCACACTGTCTAGCAGATGCTTTTGTTAGCCTCATTTTTCAAATTGTAATCGGGAGAACCCACTCCCAATATTTCAGCGTAGGTTCTTTCTATTTCCCATAAGTGTCAGCCAGCTGAGAAATAAAGAGAAAGAGTACAAAGAGAGGAATTTCACACCTGGGCCTCCGGGGGTGACCTCACATATCGGTAGCACCGTGATGCCCACCTGAGTCACAAAACCAGCAGGTTTTAATTAAGGGTTTCAAAAGGGGAGGGGTGTACAAAAGGGAAGTAGGTCACAAAGATCACAGGCTTCAAAGGGCAAAAAGGAGAACAAAGATCACATGTTTCTGAGGAAACAGGACAAAAGGCAAAACAAAACTACTGATAAAGGTCTGTGTTCAGCTGTGCATGTATTGTCTTGATAAACATCTTAAACAACAGAAGACAGGGTTCAAGAGCAGAGAACTGGTCTGACCAAAAATTTACCAGGCTGGAATTTCCCAATCCTAGTAAGCCTGAGGGTACTGCAGGAGACCAGGGCGTATTTCAGTAGTCCTTATCTCAACCACATAAGACAGACACTCCCAGAGCGGCCGTTTATAGACCTCCCCCCAAGAATGCATTCCTTTCCCAGGGTCTTAATTATTAATATTCCTTGCTAGGAAAAGAATTTAGCAATATCTTCCCTACTTGCACATCCATGTATAGGCTCTCTGCAAGAAGAAAAATATGGCTCTATTCTGCCCGACCCCGCAGGCAGTCAGACCATATGGTTGTCTCCCCTTGTTCCCTGAAAATCACTGTCATTCTGTTCTTTTTCAAGGTACACTGATTTCATATTGTTGAAACACACATGTTTTACAATCAATTTGTACAGTTAACACAGTAGTGGTCCTGAGGTGACATACATTCTCAGTTTATGAAGATAACAGGATTAAGAGAGTAAAGTAAAGACAGGCATAAAAAATTATAAAAGTATTAATTTTGGGAACTGATAAATGTCAATATTAAAATGAAATCTTCACAATTTATGTTCAGAGATTGAAGTAAAGACAGGAGTAAGAAATTATAAAAGTATTATTTGGGAACTGATATATGTCCATATTAAAATGAAATCTTCACAATTTATGTTCCTCTGCCACAGCTCCAGCCAGTCCCTCCATTCAGGGTCCCTGACTTCCCACAACAAATTGTAAAGCAAAGACTTATAAATAGGGGAAGTTAGATAATAAGTCCATTTAAACTGAATACCATATTCTCTTGTTTTAGTCAGATGATGGGGAAGACCATTGATTATTGCTTTGTTTTGTTTAAATAATTAATGTCAAAATATTTTTTGTGTTAAATCTGGCCTAAGACAAATGAAAAGAGTTATTTTGGCACTAGGCTAATGAAGAATTCCAAAAAAAATAGATAATGAATTTCCTGTCACAGTATATCCTAATTATGATGAAACACCTTAACGAGTATTAAATAAAATTTGTAGAAGGCTGTTGTTTTGGACTAAACTCCTGCAATAGGCCCCAGTAGACCAAAGCAAAATGGAGCCACTCATGTTAAGTGTCATGAAGACGAAGTGATACTTTAAAAAACAGGAAAATTTCCAAACAGTCCTTTTTCTTTTTTCCAAAATAACAAGAGATTCACATAAACCATCTGAAAAAGGGCCAGTCATCCTGACCCAGCATGATAACTGTCTTTACTTTCCTAACAAGGAAAGTAACCTGACAGTAACCAATCTTCTTTTATGTATATGCTGTTTCCTTGTTTCTGCTCAAGCTACCTTTCAAAAACTGAATGTTCTGCTATATCCAATGAAATGCATTCCTATTTTTATAGATGAGATGCTGCCCAATTCATGAATAATTAATAAAAGTCAATTAGATTGTCAAACCCAAATTGTTGAAATTTTGTTATTTGACATCACATAATTTTTTTCTCCATTACACTTGTTTTGGCCTGAAATTGCACATCTATTTAGAATTCACAGTACTCTTTTAACTAAGTTTAACAAAAATAACTTCCTGTGCATCTGAACTATATTACTTATTTAATTTAACACTCTCTTATATTAACTTGTTTTTATTAAGAAACTCTCAGCCATGGTAGTTCTCTTTGGCCAGCCCATAAGAATCATTATGACATGACAAACCACCCATTAATGCCCTCTTGTTCCCAAAAATAGCCAGCCACAGAAAACCCTCTGCCTCTCACATTAAACTTCTCTCATTTGAAACATCCCTAAACTGCACAAGTGCCCCCTTGTAGCCAACAAATACTTGTAAAATGTACCATTTAGAAAGCCTCTCTAGTTTCCAAAATCCCATCTTAATAGAACATTTGCCAGTCAGGTAAGTCTGACTATTTTTGCATTTTACACCCTAAAATTTACTCCTCTTCCTAACACTTTGGAAACTTTGCTTAAATGAAAGATATAGCAGAGGTATCCCCTTGCCACAAGTTTATGAATAAAGTCTTTGTAAATTTTTTCTCAGACTTAGTTTTGATCAGTGTCATTCTGTTTTATTAGAGGAATATTTAGGATAATGTGTAAGTCTAGAGGGAAGTGTCTTAACACGTTCATCAATTTGCTGATCCTTCCTGGTACATAGTAAGAAAACATAGTAGAACTAATTAAAAAGAGATGGGGGTGGGGGAGAGGAGAGAGAGAGAGAAAGAGACAGAAAAAAGTCCTGAATTACATGGGAGAATGAATACCAAGGTTGGAAAGTAGAATAAGTGATTGTCCAATTCTTGTTCAATTTATGAAATACTAGAAGACACTTAATCTACCACTGTCATATGCCACTTTTAAAATTTAATAAAGTATCCATCTATTGGAGATCCTCTATAAGCTAGGTACCAGTTAAGCGATTTCCATGCATTGTCTAATTTATTCACTAGGGAAAAATTAGTGCATCAATGGAAAACTATACGTTTAGCACACCCTTCTGCTTATCAGAAGGTGATTCCATGGAAGAAATCTACAGAATTTACAACTCTGCAAATTGTAAATAACTGCTAGAAATGCAAAATCATTTTCCTCTGTAGGCAATTTTTTTCTGTTCAATAGTGTGGTTCATTTGACTTCCTTCTCCACTGTGGAAGAAGCTAGTTTTGCTTGCATTTATGTATCCATTTCAATATTTCTTATTTATGCGTGTCTTTATTTTGGATTTTCCTTTGAAGTGGCTATAATACTGTGGTTCTGTCATTGATAAATGAGCTATGAAAAGTCTTTAATGTCTGTTCATTTTGTATCTGTATGAGAGTTGTGATTTTAACTTTTTTGAATTTGATCTTTTGACCATTCTTTACAAAAACTCAATTGGGGATAGATATTATTGAATATTTTACAGAAAAGGCTTAGCAGGGTCTCATTACTTTCCTGAAAGCCACAAACATCCACCGTGCACCTCCTGACTGTTAGGTACTATGCTAGATGCCACGGCTGCAAGCTGAACAAGGTTGTCTTAAGCCTCAGGGTCAAGGAAACAAGAATAAATCTTTAGTGAGGGTTGCCTTGCATGTAAGCTGCTTTTCATAGATATCTAGGATCTAAAAACATTTAATGAATACTTACTACCCCAAATTCACTTGCTATATAAAATATTGAACTCAAATAGATTCAAACAGTGTTATACTCTTTATCTCAACTTGCTCTGTGAACTCTTGCTAACTAAATTCAGGAAGGAAATAGACTTGTATAGGAAGAGATACTTGATTATTATCTTCTAATTCTTCAAGTCACCTTATGAGGTAGACATTCTTCCCATTTCTATAGACAAGAAAAATGAGGCTCAGAGAAAGTAGTGTTTAAAAAATGTAACAGCACTAAAGAATAGGAAGAGATAGCAGGATCACACAACCCAATGTCTTCATTTAATAGATGGAAAACAAGAGTTCATGGGATACAGAGTAGCTCCCTAAAATCTCACGTCCAGCTAGGAGCAGGGCTGGATGCTCCAACAATTGCTTCTACCTTCTACTGCATCTTTCTACTTATCTGAGACAGTGAGGAAGGAGAATGGACCACATATCAGAATCAGTGAGAAAAGAGAGAAAAAAATTCTTAAACTTCTTTTAAGATTTTCAGGAGGCCCCAAGGGCTCTGATATGGTTTGACTCTGTGTCTCTGCCCAAATCACCTTGATTATAATCCCCATAATCCCCACATGTCAAGAGTGGGACCAGGTGGAGGTAATTGAATCATGGGGACAGTTTCCCCCTGCTGTTCTCATGCTAGTGAGTAAATTCTCATGAGATTTGATGGTTTTATAAGCATCTCATTCTCTCTCCAGCCACCCTGTGAAGCGGTGCCTTCTGCCATGATTGTAAGTGTCATGAGGCTTTCCCATCTAAGAAGAACTGTGAGTCAATTAAACTTCTGTTATAAATAAATTACTCAGCCTCAGGCAGTTCTTCATAGCAGGCTGAGAATGTACTAATATAGTTAGTTGGTACCAGGAGTTCGGTGCTGATATAAAGATACCTGAAAATATGGAAGTGACTTTGGAATTGGGTAACAGGCAGAAGTTGGAACAGTTTGGAGGGCTTAGAATAAGACAGAAAAGTGTGGGAAAGTTTGGAACTTCCTAGACACTTGTTGAATGACTTTGACCAAAATTCTGATAGTGATATGGACAATGAAGACCAGGTTGAGGTGGTCTCAAATGGAGATGAGGAACTTGTTGGGAACTGTGGTAAAGGTCACTCTTGCTATGCTTTAGCAAATAGACTGATGGCATTTTGTCCCAGCCCTGGAGATCTGTGGAACTTTGAACTTGAGAGAGATGATTTAGGGTATCTGGCAGAAGAAATTTCTAAGCAACAAAGCATTCAAGAGGTAACTTGGGTTCTCTTAGAAGCTATTCAGTTTTATGCATTCACAAAGATATGGTTTGGAATTGAAACTTATGTTTAAAAAGAAAGCAGAACATAAAAGTTTGGAAAATTTGCAGCCTGATGATGCGATAGAAAAGAAAACCTCATTTTCTGAGGAGAAATTCAAGCTCACCACAGAAATTTGCATAAGTAATGAGGAGCCAAATACTAATCACCAAGAAAATGGGGAAAATATCTCCAGGGCATGTCAGAGGTCTTCATGGCAGCCCCACCCATCACAGGCCAAGAAGCCTAGAAGAAAAAACTGGTTTCATGGGCCAGGGCCCAGGACCTTGCTGTTTTTTGCAGCCCTGGGACTTGGTGTCCTGCATTCCAGCTGAACATTTTTAAATTGGGCCAAGGTACAGCTCAGGCCATTGCTTCAAAGGATGCAGGCCCCAAGACTTGTCAGCTTTCCTGTGGTATTGATCCTGAGGGTGCACAGAAGAATTGAGGTTGGGGAACCTCCACCTAAATTTCAGAGGATGTATGGAAATGCCTGCATGTCCAGAGACAAGTTTGCTGAGGGGCATAGCCCTCATAGAGAACCACTGCTAGGGCAGTGTGGATGGGAAATGTGGGATTGGAACTCCCACACAGAGTCCCCGCTGGTGTACTGCCTAGTGGAGCTGTGAGAAGAGGGCCACCATCCTCCAGACCCCAGAATGGTAGATCCACTGACATTTTGCACTGTGTGCTGGGAAAAGCCACAGACACTCAATCCTAGCCCATGAAAGAGGCTGGGAGGGCTGCTATTCCCTGCAAAGCCACAGGTGCAGAGCTGCCCAAGGCCATGAGAGCTCACTTCTTGCATCAGTGTGCCCTGAATGTGAGAAATTGAGTCAAAGGAGCTCATTTTGGAAGTTTAAGGTTTAATTCCTGCCCTGTTGGATTTTGGACTTGCATGGGACCTACAGCCCCTTTGTTTTGGCCAATTTCTCCCATTTTGAATGGGTGTATTTACTCAATGCCTGGACTCCCATTGTATCTAGGAAGTGATTAACTTGCTTTTGATTTTACAGGATCATAGGCAGAAGGGACTTGCTTTGTCTCAGATGAGACTTTGAACTTTGACTTTTGGGTTAATACCGAATTAAGACTTTGGGGGACTGTTGGAAGGGCATTATTGTTTCTTAAGTTGAGGCCATGAGATTTTGGAGGGGTCAGGAGGGAGTGATATTGTTTGGCTCTGTGTTCCCACCCAAATCTCACCTTGAATTATAATCCCCATAATACCCACGTGTCAAAGACAGGACCAGGTGGAGATAATTGAATCATGGTGGTGGTTTCCCCCATGCCATTCTCTTGAGGGTGAGTGAGTTCTCACAAGATCTGATGGTTTTTTAAGTGTCTGGCATTTCCACTGTTGTCACTCATTCTCTCTCCTGCTGCCCTGTGAAGAGGTTCATTTCACTATGATTGTAAGTTTCCTGAGGCCTCCCCAGCCATGCAGAAATGTGAGTCAATTAAACCTCTTTTCTTTATAAATTAACCAGTCTCAGGTACTTCTTCATAACATTGTGAGAACACACTAATATAGGGTCCCTTTTCAACTTCATTTACCTAGTTATTTATTCATTTAGCTGATCTGAAGATTTATCTGAATTCATTTTCACATCTACTTTAATATAATTTTGCATGTGTATTAATCTCATACTTAAGTAATACCATGTGTTGATTTCAATATTTCAAAAAGGCAGTGACTGTCATCATTCATAATAACACAAAGGCTATTTGAATGATCAAGTGCCATTGTGGCTGATTGAAGTAAACTCAAGGAGGTAACCATGTGTTTAATATCAACCTGGAAGAACAAGGGAATAATTTATCTGGTTAATAAATAAAAATATGGCAAACATGCTATTATTAAGTCTATGGGCTCTGTTCAGTAGGAAAAATAATATTGGGTTCACATAACAGAAGGAAAATACTAGAAGAGATCTTGGTGGTAAAAGTTTTGCAAACCACTTTGCTATATTGTACTGTTGCCTCTGAAGTTTGAAGACCTCTACAGAAACCCACTGTCCTGGACAGCTTTGCACTTTGCTCACAAATTCAGGTAGAAGATCCCACCACTGGCACAACAGGAGGAAAAGAATCATTTCTTATTATTCCCACGTGAAGAGTGTGGCTGAAAATTTGGCAGATCTCAAAATCTCTGGCAGAGTGTATTAGTCTATTCTCACACTGCTATAAAGACTTATCTGAAACTGGAAAAGACAAAGGATGTTTAATTGACTCACAGTTCTGCATGGCTTGGGAGACCTCAGGAAACTTACCATCATTGTGGAAGGTGGAGGGGAAGCTAGGCAAGTCTTACATGGCAGAAGGAGGAAGAGATAGAGCGAAGAGGAAATCGTCATACACTTTTAAACCATCAGATTTCATGAGAACTCACTCACTGTCATGAGAACAGAAAGGGGAAAATCCACACCCATGATCAAATCACCTTCTACCAGGTCCCTCCCCCAACATTGGGAATTACAATTCAATAAGAGATTTTGGTAGGGACACAGAGCCAAACCATATCATGGAGTAAACTACCTCTTAGCAGTTTATAGTCCAGAATCTTTTAGACCCACATCCTTATGACTGCTAACTATAAAAATAAAGCAGATTCCGTACTGTTTTTCTTTTTTTTTTTGTCCACTCATCTCTAATCCTTCTTTTCTACTCTACCTTCCCTATTCTCCCATTCTTGTTTTCTCCTTTTTTCCCTAATTTCCTCCTCTTTTTCACACAAGTGTTTATATGAAAAATATATGGCCATATATACTGAGTGAGCAGGCTTATTCTGCATCACTTCTCAACAAGCAGAACAGAGAGGCCACCTGATATTTGTGTCCCTAGTATGGTAAGAGTGCTTGTATTACAGAAGTGGGTCACTTTTTTTTTTTTTTTGAAAAAGGCAATACATTTATTGCTTGATGAACTCTATTTATGTCCTTTCAGCCATTCACAACATGCCTCTCACATTGGGCTGATTTTGTTTAAGGCCTTCACGCTCTCGAGAGACTTTCCCTTAGGAAATTTACAAACCTTCTGTTCCTTTCCAAGGCATCAAAATTCTAATGAAGTTGTGTACTATGTAAACCTATGCTAATTTTAGTCATTATGCAGATGTCCAAGTATATTGTAGGTTTCCACCTAAAAGTGTTATATCCCTCTAGAGTCAAAGGTACCTGGATGATCTGTTGATCTTTTTGTTAAAATATCCATATACCACAAGGCCACCAAATTTGTCAAACTTCTTCCAGTTAAACAGAATCTCCTAAAGTGGTTGGTAAATTGAGCATTGTAGAAATGCAGCTTGTATTTAAAATTTCATGATGAAAAATAAACATTTTAAGGAATGTTAAATTTTTATTTTGGCACAATCTCCTGCTTTTGTTCATTTTAAGTACTTCTGCTTTAGATTTCATTTAACAGGCTCTATTTGGCTACCTCCAAGCTACCAAAAAAAGTGTAAAAAACCATTTTTAATGTTTTATTTCATATAATCCTAAAGACAATTTTAAAAGATCTGCCGCGAATGAATCATTGTTTAACAGAAAGAAATTGATACTTAGTGAAGTTTCAAGGTATGGCCAAGACTACACAGCTATTCACTTGTCTCACAAGTGTTAAAACCCAGACCTTATGTGAGTCTTCATGTTTCTTCCAGATGTACTATAGGTCTTATTACTTTAAAAATGTTGAGTCTAATGATTGGTCTAAGCTGGAATTTTCTCGTATAAGTAGCTCCAAATATTTAAATGTGAATATGTGCTACACTGTAAGATGCTTCAAACAGAGCCATGTTCTCTGTAGGGCATGAAAGGAAAATATCTTGGGCCCCCAAAATGACTAAACTGAAAGAAAAACTCAAGGTGGAAACTGCTTAGGGCAAACCTGTCTCCCATTCTATTCAGTTATCTCTCTGCTCACTAAGATAAATGCATATCTAGTTGTCTCCTTTGGAAAGACTAATCAGAAACCCAAAGAATGCAGCCTTTGTCTCTCACCTATCTGTGACCTGGAAGGCCTCTCCCAGATTGGAGTCTTCCCGCCTTTGCTTCAAGTTGTCCTGCCTTTCCAGACCAAGCCAATGTACTTCTTACATATATTGTTGTCTTCTGTCTTCCTAAAATATATAAACCCAGACTGTGCCCCGACCACCTTGGGCACATGTTGTCAGGACTCCCTGAGGCTGTGTCACAGGTGAGGGTCCTCAACCTTGGCAAAATAAACTTTCTAAATTAACTGAGACCTGCCTCAAATCTTTGGGGCTCACAAGGGGAAATAGGGAGCCTTCCACTTAGCTTCATGTCCAGTTATATCTATAATATCAATATAATTGGATTAAGGGCAAAGAACAAGGGCAAGATATACTAAACAACAAAGCCAGACTTTTCACATGGAAGTAGGTACAAGTTGACAGTTTCTTAGTTGCACCCAATCTCTGTAGTCTTTCCACATACCTGAATCAAAGAGTCAATATTTTCTAAGAAGCAAAACATCATTAAAATAAAGAATGTTATCTTATAGTAAACATTAGATCAGGACACATATTAACTCTCCCTTATATGTGTCCTTTATATTATAGGAAGGGTAAGGAATTTGGTGTCCCATAGTAGGCAAATGTGGCTTCAAACCTTTATGTAGAATTTAGAACACCTGCCCTTGGCTCTTGCCTACCATCTAGGCTTGACATGAAAGCTAAAAGAGCCTTATTTAAGGTTGAATCATGATGCTTAAATACTAAGGCTCACTAATAGTTAGAAATCTCATCTTATCTCTTTTGGCAGTAGGTTTATTTCATGGTTCTGTAACCATAACACTTCTGTTGCCCAGTGTTCATGTCAAGTCAGTATGCTGAGACACTGGGTTTCAGTAGAGAAAGGGGTTTAATTGTAAAGCTACCAAAGAAGAGATGTGAGGAAACCTCAAATCTGCCTTTTCAAGGAGTTTTGGGCTAGAGTTTTTAAGGGTTTTGGAATGAGTCTAAGTGTGGGTGTGGCAATCGTTGACTGGTGGAAGAGTGCAGGGTGAAGTCATGGGACAGGAAGATGAAGAAATTGTATTCTCAGGATGATTTGGTTCCTCTCTGGGGGTCCTTAAACTGGTTGGTATCAGATGTTCTGCTGGAATTCAAAATCTGCTTAAGCAATTCTTAAACAAGTTTTAAGATTCTAATGTCAGAAGCCCTAGGTATAGGAACAATGGAAATGCATATGGTCAATATCTAGTGTTAAGTAACTTTCCCTTACAAGAATGTGGGTCAAAGTGATAGCAGTGACAGCCCATCTGCAATGACCACTGTGGGGATGCCGGCTGCAGCAGGGGAGGAACTGCTGGGGCTGCATGCTCTGGATAGCCAGCAGGAGCTGGGCAGAGATGAGAGCCCTGCACCCTAATGAGTTGGCAGGTTGGGAGCCCCATGTTCCCTGGCACAGCTGCAGCCACCCAGAAATGGCTCTGGACCCAGGCATTGCTGCACTCTTGGGGGCCCAGGAAGCCCCTACATCCATAGGCTTGGAAGATCCTGCTCCTGTGTCTGGCCTCTCCCTGTTCCTGGCACCCACTCCAGTGCAGAGCAAAGTTGTGGCTGAGCTCAGGCTCTGTTGTGACCCAGTCAGATGTGCATGCACTTGGAGCAGTGCTGACATGCCAGTCCCCTGCCACCTTGGTCCTCTCTGGACTTTGGGCCCTGATGAGGGCAGGAAGGAGGCTGGGTGGTGGCAGGAACAGCCTGTGGCTGTGGATGGCATGTTGATGGCAGAAGGCAGATAGGTTCCCAGGCAGAAAGGAGGGGGTCCCTGGTGAAACCCTACCTTCAAGCCAGGGATGTCCTGAAGCCTGGGGTCCAGGCTACCAATTCCAGGTGGAGTCCATGACCTGGAGTCAGAGCTCATGGTGCTTTTTCCAGCCTGCCCTTGGTTGCCCATGGACCAATCAGCATGCACTTCCTCCCTTGTGAGCCCATAAAAACCCCAGACTCAGCCAGACTCACAGAGATGTTGAGACTACCAGCTATGGGAAGGAACTACCAACTTAGGGTATCTTTGACTTGTTGGGAGGACTTGCCTGTGGAAAAGAGTTACCCACAGAGTTACCCACTACAGCTCTCCTCTCCATTTAGAGCTGGACATTCTCAGGACGACCTGCCTGTGGAAACAAGCTATCCACTTTGGGTCTTGCCTGCAGAAACAAGCTATGCACTTCAGGTCTTCTGAGAGCTGTTCTGTCACTCGAGAAAACTCCTCTCCACCTTGCTCACCCTCCAGTTGTCCATGTACCTCATTCTTTATGGATGTGGGACAAGTACTCAGGATGTACCAAATGGTGGGACTGAAAGAGCTGTAACACAAACAGGGCTGAAACATACCCCCCTGCTCATCACATTGCAGGCAACAAGAAGGATAAAAGATCTAGGGGCTCCCTGAGCCAGGGCTGTGACACCCTCTCTGGGGCTCTGCAGTTCCTTGTGTTTCCAAGCTTCTGAGCGCCACTGCATTCTCCTTGTCCACACACAGGTGCCTGCAGTGGAAGCTGCTTTTGGTACCTCTGATCCAGCCACAGCCTTACACAGAGCTGGAACCTGTGCCAGCACCTGGAGCTGCCTGCCCCACCACAGCAGCTGGTGTGCCTGGCAGTGTGCAGTGGCTAGACCTCATGCTTGCTCGCTTACACAACCCTTGCCACTCAGCACCTGGATTGCCCTCAGCAGGCATGGGATCTAGGCCAGCAGCATGAGTGGAGTGCAGCCTGCTGGGCCAAGTGGGCAGAATAACCCCAGCAGGCCCAAGCAGAACTCGGGCAAAGGCACCACTGGCCACAGAAGTTTCTGGCTGGAAAAGCAAAACCCTAAGGATCCTGTGACAAAAGTGCAGCCTTATTAATGCATGGTTATAAATATATTTCTGTCCAAAATTCTTGCTAACCTTCTGAGGATGGCTTTAGTTCCATTCTAATGAGAGGCCAAATCCTATATCTCGTTGAGACATTTGCCACATGTTGTTGCTGCTTCTGCTGAATATGTCACAGAGCAAGTATGAAGGCAAGTAAGCACACAATGATCTCTTCCTGATTCTTAGAGTCCAGCAGGCACTGACACCCCCACAGGACTCAAGCTCCAGTATCAATAAATGCAATCATCTCCTGCACATTTTTCCAGCTTCTTTTCAATTTGATAGTTTTGTGCCCATTTACCATGATAATTTCCACAAGAATATATTCTCACCGTGTGAATGTGAACACATAATTTATAACGAAAGCTAAAACAGAAACACTAATATTAAAGATGAAATCTTTGCAAATTATGTCCCAACAAATAATAAATTTAATAGAGGATCATGAGATTCAAATTGCTAACCATAAGGAAGAGGGAATGTATCACCTAATATTGTTTTACTGAATATAAATGAATAAAGGGGTTTCTTTTTATTGCATTTGTGTCACCAGCATTCCAAATCTCAATGGGACTTTTGACATAAACATACAATAACGAATTGAATTATTAGAATTACCATGACAATATCCTATCTGGCATCTTCAATCAAAAGCATGATAAATAATGATAACTGATATAACTCAATAAAAATGTGTTAATATATTGATTGCAAAAAGGAGATGATGCCAATGTGTATCCTGCTTTCTTTTCACTCTTATCCTAACATTAGTAAATAGAATATCATCTATTTTCTAATGATTTGAAACAAAATTTGAGTTTAAACATACTTATATTATTGTATTTAGCTGTTCAAGTCTCACCTGCCTAAGAAAGCATCAAAACAAGATGTGCAAAGCATATGATATGACACATACAACAACTGTTTGAGCTAGGTTTCTAGGATGAACTTGAATTTAAGGAAAATCATATCTATTTTTTAAATTATTATTTCCTTGGGAATAAAACAACATTATAATCATCTGCATTCATTATCAAGTCATACTCAGTTTAACTCCAAACTGTCAATCACTGACTTTCTCACCTTGAGCTAGTTACTCTCTGAGCTTGTTTTCTCCTCTTTAGAAGGTGGTAATAATGGTATTTAACTAAAAGTGTTTCAGTTCAATATTAAATAAGATAACCTATAGAAAGTAGTAAGCATTACCTCTGACATATCATAAATGTTCCATTAATGGTAGCTATTATTTTTCACTTATCCCAAAAGCATTTTTTGAATTGCTACTAACTGCTATATGCTCTATTGGGAAAGATGCAGATGAAATAATCCTGTGAGCTTGATTCTTTATAGTCTATGTGTCAACTCTGCTACCTTCTTGTTACACAAACCCCCAACTCTAAACCCCAAATATAAGCAAATCAGAACATCCGCAGAGAGAAGTAAAGAATGAAATCCATGTTGCAGAGACATTTATCTAAATTCTGTGGAGAAAAGGAATGAGGAAGCTGTCATATTAGGGGAAAGTCCACAAATGGACAGTATGTGTGTTACACAAATTCACTCTTAGCATTTATAGATACCTAATGAATGGAGGCTCACATTCAAATGTCTGAATATTTAAAAGTTACAAATCATGCTAAATAATTATTAAATAAAATCCTTCTATCATCTGCATAATGTCCTGCAAGGTCAAGCTCAAAATTAGAATTCTCAGATTCCTAGAAGTGTTTTTACTGAAATGAAATGTCAATCCTAGGTGGCCAGATCACTTCCTGAAGCCCATATCTTATTCATTCTTACCCCTGTTAAGTCCAGCTTTGTATAAGAGACCCCACAGGAATGCATGTGGACACTCTAGCCTACATGTCCAAGATCTGACCACAAACCCTATATAAAGTCTACCTTGGGCTAGAGGTACCCATTACAGTAGTTATAGCTGCTCTCAGGAAGACACAATGAGAAAAGACAACCTTGCAGACCCTTAAAAAAGAGTTTGGGCAGGGATTTCTGGGTCTGAATGAACACTGGGGCATGGTCTAGAATACAGTAGGGGACTATCGGGAGGAACATAGCTTTAGCTCCATGAAGTCCGTGTTCACGAAAAGAAACTGGCCAGGGAAATTCAGTTCTGATCCTTTTAAAGGGAGGGGCCCAGGGAAGGGACATCTCTTCATTTTGTCTAAGTGCAGTAGTGGTATTCTGGTGAGGATCAGGGCTCTAGAATCAGAAGATCTGGGTTCAAATCCTAGTTCTGTCATTTAATAATTAAGTAACTCTGTGCAAGTTGTTTAACCACTACAACTCAGTTGCTTCATCATTCAAAAGGGAATCATAATGGCACCTACTTCATAGTATTTGTGTGAAGATTTAGTTGACATGCATAAAGCACTTTATAAAGTAGCTATCACAGGATATGCACTCTATAAATATTGGATATTTGAAATAGTAGTAGTGGTGTGGTTGGTAGAAATCATCATAATAATGTGCTAGTTCTGAAATAATTTCATAAGTTAAATTATATCTCCTAGAAATAGAAAATCAATAGGGCTTCTGTTTTGTGTTATTTTGGTTGGAATAAGTCACTTGGATAAGATAGATTTATTTATTTATTTATTTATTTTTGAGACGGAGTCTCACTCTGTTGCCCAGGCCAGAATGCAGTGGCACAATCTCAGCTCACTGCAACCTCCGCCTCCCAGGTTCAAGTGCTTCTCCTCCCTCAGCCTCCTGAGTAGCTGGGATTACAGGCGTGCACCACCATGCCTGGCTAATTTTTGTATTTTTTTAGTAGAGATGGGGTTTCGCCATGTTGTTCAAGCTGGTTTCGAACTCCTAACCTTGTGATCTGCCAGCCTTGGCCTCCCAAAGTGTTGGGATTACAGGCGTGAGCCACCGCACCCAGCCAATTTATTTAGTTAGAATGTAAATTCTTCCTTTTGGTAATTAATTGTGGTTTGAATTTCTGATTCTGACCATATAGCAGATTGGACTAACCTAGACACATTTTCTATTATAAGACAGGTAGAAATGTCAAAATGTTGGATATGAAACAAAGAAAGATGACAGCAACAACAAATACACAGGTCTGAAAAAATGGTGGGGGAAGAACTTCCAGGTGTGAGAAATAAAAATAATTTAGCCAGTGGGGTGAGCCAAACAGAAAGATGCATATCTAAATAGAAACAGGCAAAAGGCTCTAACAGCAGAGGGAATCTCCATTCAACATGAAGTTATACAAGTAGAAGTGAGAGAATTTCTAAATTTGTACCTAATAACAATACTATGGTCTCAAAATAGATGAAATTAAAAATGACGGAACTAAAATGAAACATTAGACAATCCCATAATCACAGTGGAAGATTTTAACACACCTCACTGAGTACTTAAGATCAACCATCAAAATGATTGCAGAAATAAAGAGGAATAGGAAGAATAATTATAAAGACATCATAGAGAATCTCAGCAAAATTAAAGCTAGTTCCAATCTTCTTGATGATTTTGTCTGATCAAAGGTTGTACAGAAGTCCCGCATATAAAACCTTTACAGAGCATTTGAAGCCAATGAATAAACTTGATCCAATTACATATATAGAGCACTTTACTCAATTATTTCTGCATACATAGGAGAAATTATACTTGATATTATAAAATATTTGGAACTGAATGTCAATGAGTAGTGTATAATTCAACATGGAAGGATGCATGACAACTTAAGCTTTAAATGCATATCTTATATAGCATTTAACTACAAAAAGATTTTAAAAAGTTAAAGAAAAAGAGAATGTGGGCTGGACATGGTGGCTCATGCCTATAATCCTAGCACTTTGAGAGGGAGAGGCAGGTGGATCGCCTGAGGTCAGGAGTTCGAGACCAGCCTGGCCAACATGGCAAAACTTCATCTGTACTAAAAATACAAAAATTAGATTGGCGTGGTGGTGGGCATCTGTAACCCCAGCTACTTGGGAGGATGAGGCAGGAGAATCGCTTGAACCCGATGGGTGGAGGTTGCAGTGAGCCGAGATCACACCACTTCACTCCAGCCTGAGCGAAAGAGCGAGACTCTGTCTCAAAAAAAAATGTGAGAACAAATTAGAAAAGTTTGTAATGGATGCAGAAATTAAAGAAAACAGCAGCAATGACAAAGAGACCACAGAGATTATCAGCAATATAAGAAACCCAAACAAAATGTAGGCGTAATGATTTTACAGACAAATTCCCCTAGACCTTCAAGAAACAAGGAACAAATAATCCCAAAGAATAGGTCAGATAACATAATGTGGTTCTGTTTTTTTAATATATATATAGATATTTATTATACTTTAAGTTCTAGGGTACATGTGCACAACACGCATGTTTTTTACATATGTATACATGTGCCATGTTGGTGTGCTGCACCCACTAACTCGTCATTTACATTAGGTATATCTCCTAATGCTATCCCTGCCCCCTCCCCCGACCCCACAACAGGCCCCAGTGTGTGATGTTCCCCTTCTTGTGTCCAAGTGATCTCATTGTTCAATTCCCACCTATGAGTGAGAAAATGCGGTGTTTGGTTTTTTGTCCTTGCGGTAGTTTGCTGAGAATGATGGTTTGTCAAGGATGACAATTTATCTTCTGGTAGGATACTTTCAACCTCATTTAACAACAGATCTGTAAATAAGCCATGCAAAATATATTCAGGAAATCAAAGGTATAGGTGAATGAATGCAGATTCCTGATGCTTCCCCTTTACCTTATTCCTAGAAAAATATGGAATTTGGTGGCTTCAGCAACTTTAATAAAGAAACAACCAGCTTGAGAAGAACCCAAAGCCCTGGGGTCATTGCTTTCTTAAAAAAAAAAAAAAAAAATATATATATATATATATATATATATATATATATATATGTATATATATATATATATATATATTATTAGGGGTAGGAGTGAGAGGCTCATCTAAAGAAACACCTGTTGTCTCATAGTTAGATGATTCCATATTCTATTTCTATTGTGTTATAAGGCTTATGCACATTTTTGGCACAATGAGTCCTGCCAAGGCATACCATGACTCTTTCAGAGAATCACAACACCTCTCATCATCTCCTCTAATCATCTTTCCAAAACCAGAGAAGGACAGTTTGAGAAAACTACAGAATGTAGAGAACTGAAAAGAAAACAGAACATAGAAAATAGAAAGTCATTTATACTACTCATGAGTGTGTAAAATTTTTAAATGCTTTTGAGGAGCAATTTAACAATATCAGGAAAATGAAGATCTCTATTTCCTATAACCGTTCTGCTATTGGGTATACAACTTACAGCATAATTTTTCAAAGTGCTAATAACTGCCCCTTATTAGATTAGCCAGTCAATTTAGCAAGTCTTTACCCACAATTTTTACCTATAAGAAATAGAATTTAATAGAATAGAATACAATATATGGCAGAAAATGTTATTTATGTATATACAAATACATAAGTGTTATTTATATATGTGTATATATATTTGTGTGTGTGTATATGTGTGTGAATGTAGAAAGTTTGGCTTTTTTCTATATATAGGTGTGTGTTCATGTGTACAGGTCCTGGTTTATTATGATGAG